>NC_000011.10:34605454-34756969 GCF_000001405.40 Homo sapiens
GCTATTAATGAAAATAATAATAATAATAATAATTACTCCTGCTAATAATATAAGGAAACACCCACTGGTCTGTGACTGAGCCAGCCTTGCCTGAAGGCAGGGGAATGAATTCAATGACCTCTTGACACTGGTCTCAGCCCTTTGGTTCTATTACCACCTTGTAAACCTGAGGTTGTTCTGTTTTTATCCCTAGGGAGTTGTGGTTAGAACCTGCCAGAAATTTCTCACTATGAATCAATCTTCCATTGGTCACTGCCCTTTTCAACATGCCTGTCATTCAAGACTTACGATTTCCTAGGCATTGACAGAGAGAAACTGGCCATGTGGACCAAGGCAGTGGGATTTACGTGACACCCGCCAAGCCGGTGGGGCTAAGTTCCATTGCTGAAGTCTGATACCTGTCATCTGCTGTGGGGTGACATCCACACCATGTCATTCTCCATTCGTTCAATACATATTTGTGGATTCCTAAAATGCCCCTGCTGCTGTGATAGTCCAGCTCAAGAGAGAGGAAGTACATGAGATGTTACCACACAGTGTGGTATGTGCTGGAGAGGTGAAGACTCTGGAGCAGAGAGGCAACAACTCAGGTGGGGACTGAATGGTGGCGGGGTGAGCTCATCAGGAAAGGCCCCCCCAGGGAAGCTGTGTTTGGGCTGGGGTCTAAGGATGAGCAGCAGTTAGCCAGGGAAGACAAGGAGTAAATGTACCTAGGCATGTGGGGCAGTCTATGCAATAATGTGGGGAGGAAGCAGAGAGAAAGAGAATGGGAGAATGGCCTGCCTGTTTGGGGAAATGAAAGGAGCCAGTATGTAAAAATCAGGTGAGAGACAGCTGGAGATGAGGCTGCAGAAATAGGTAGGTGCCAGGTCACAGAGGGCCTTGTGAATAGTATCATGGACGCTGGACTTTACTCCAAAGGGCATGGGAGCCATCAAAGGGTGTTGAACAAGGAGATGCACATTATAGAAAGGCCAGGAAGGCCTCTGGGATCTCCTCTTCTCCAAACTGTGGCTCTGGGGACAGCTCCCTATAGTGGTCTTGGGCAGCACCAAACTGGTGTTTAGGCTCAGCTCACATGCAGCTCACAGCAAGATGGTGACAAATGACTCATCCTCAAACAACAGAGCAGGCATAGGAAGGAGGCCCCGGTTAGGATCTTGCTTACCTGGTTTGCTGGTGGCCTATGCATTTAATTGTAGAACAGAATGCCAAGCCACTTTTTAACCTTTCTTCTACACCATGCCCTGCACCTCCCCTTCTCTCTCTGCTCTTCTCCCTTCCACCCTCAAATTTCTAAGCCATGTCCAGGTCTCGTTTTCACCTGTGCCAGAGAAGATCTATCTGACTTTGGCCATGGAAGAGGTATAGCAGGTATCAGTTGGAGAGGGCTGGAAAAGCTCCCTGGTGCTAGATATGGACGACCTGAGCTTCCAGTCCTGGCTCTTGCAGCCACCAGGCATTTGACATGGGCAGAAGCACTTTTCCTCACTGAGCCTCTGTTTCCTCATCTGTAAAATGGGAATCATGGTGATGGTGTGATATTTGAACAAGTTTTTTTTTTTTTTTCAAAATTGCTTTGTAAACTGCAAAGCTCTGAATAAGTGTTTATTTGGGATTATTAGGAACTGCTTTGCTGGAACAGTCTACCAGAGGGATGGAAGGAGAGGAACTGAGAAATCCATTCTTTGAAATATTTTTATCATATGAGATACAAATATGTATCTATATAAATATAGATATAAATATGAACAAATATATCTGTCATAAAATTTAAAAAAGGATGAACCTTGCCCCCAATCTCACCCCTAGCAGCAACTATTAATTTTTTGTTGTATATCTGCCCAGACACATATAAAATATATATTCAAACAAAAAATATAATCATATTATAAACTTTGTTTTTTAGCTTGTTTATTCACATTACATGGAAATCTTTCAGCATCATGGCATATAGATCTGTCTTTTTAATATTACTTCATGGTCTAGGTGAACTATAGTTTATTTAGCATTTTCCTTTTGGTAAACATTAAAGTTAGTTGCAATTTTTCATCATATATTTTTTCTGGTCTTTTGTACATATATCTATGAGAGAAATTCCTAGAAATAGGGTTGCTGACTCAAAGGATACCAGCATTTTAAATTTTGGTAGGTACTACCAAATTGCTCTTCATAAAGAGTGTACAAATACACCCTCCCACAAACAGAGTGCCTGCCTTCCATGCCTGGACCAACCACAGGCATTACCACCTCTGCTGAAGCTTTTTCATGAGACAAGGTCTTGCTCTGTTGCCCAGGCTGGAGTGCAGTGGCGTGATCTCTGCTCACTTCAACCTCTGCCTCCCAGGTTCAAGTGACTGTCATGTCTCAGCCTCTGGAGTAGCTGGGACTACAGGTGCGTGCCACCAAACCTGGCTAATTTTTGTATTTTTGGTAGAGATGGGGTTTTGCCATGTTGGCCAGGCTGGTCTCGAACTCCTGGCCTCAAGTGATTTGACTGCCTTGGCCTCCCAAAGTGCTGGAATTACAGGCGTGAGCCACCATGTCTGGACTGCTGAGGTTTTTTTTTTTTTTTTTTTTTTGAGACCAAGTTTCACTCTTGTAGCCCAGGCTGCAGTGCAATGGCATGATCTTGGCTCACTGCAACCTCCGTCTCCCAGGTTCAAGGGATTCTCCTGCCTCAGCCTTCCAAGTAGCTGGGATTATAGGCATGTGCCACCATGCCCAGCTAATTTTGTATTTTTAGTACAGATGGGGTTTCTCCATGTTGGTTAGGCTGGTCTCGAACTCCCAACCTCAGGTGATCTGCCCGCCTTGGCCTCTCAAAGTGCTGGGATTACAGGCATGAACCACTGCGCCCAGCCTTGCTGAGGCTTTTAAAACCATGAAACGCTCCTCCTCCCTCAAATGGTCATGTGGCCACTGCCTGCTTCATCACACTGCTCCTCTGTCTGACAAGCCTGTTCTTATATAACACCAGTAGGTAGGGCCATCCGAGACATGGTTATCCAATAAAATGGTAAGAACCAGCCCTAGGGTATTTGGGAAACTGGCTGTGAGGGTTCAATGGAATATTCACATTTCCAAACATAAAATCTAGCAGCAATGGAGAAACGTACTTTAAGCAGAGAGTTTTGCGCCTGACACAAGAAATTATTATTATTGTTGTTATTGAAAGTTCTGACACACAGATCTCGGTTGTGTTTGGAAGGAGGATAGTCAGAGAGAGGAGGAAGGTATGAAGAGGTCGAGGTGTTAGTTTTAAAAAGTGTGTCTTTGTCATTGTCGAGCTGTGGCTGGTCCCACATCCTGGTTCTATCAGGCCTTTGGTGTTACAAAATGCAAAACACCAGGCAACCAAATAGCGTTTCCATGGAAGTATCCCATGACCTCTGGTGCTGTGTACAGGTGAGACAGTGAGCACTCAGAAAGGGATGGCCTGGGTGGGGAGGGCGAAAGGGGCCTCTCCAGCCTCTGCAACATAAAACAAGGGGCCAATGGAAAGTTCTGGAACTGGATCACTAAGAAGACAGGCCCCACTGCTGGCATGAGTGGGATGACCAAAGAATTAGGAAACTGAGATTGGAGTTGGTCACCAATTCAACTGGCCCATTTAAAAATTTTCATAAGCAGGGACAGAGGATCAAGCCAAGAGCACTAGGGAGATGGTGATGAATGGAAATTGTGTAAGGTAGATGGCTATGTGCCGGGGAAGGAGGAGAGAGGATTCAGAATTATAGGAATAATACATGAAATGACTGACAAAAGTAGCCTTTTATGTGTGTTATGTAATTTAATCCTCTTAACCTTATAGAGTTAGCACTGTCAGGATCCACATTAAAAAAAAAAAAGACGAAGCAGAAGCTCGGAGAAGTCAAATTACTTGGCCAAGGTCAAGGTCACACAGCCACATGTGGCAAATCTGGAATACAAACTTAGGTCTATCTGACTTTAAACCAAAATGCTGCATATAGCTTCGATTTCAGCACAGCAGGGTTCAACTTGGAGATAGAGGGTGGTGTTATAGATTACCAGATACGATAGTGGTAGGTTTTCTTCTGTCTTGATGAAAGATGAGCTATTTTTATCCTGTTGCAGGACAACGCGAAGGATCATGACTTCCATTTTTGAACTGACATTGTAGATTTGTGTATATTTGACAGCTCTACCACATTCCCAACCCTATGCCCTCCTATCACCCTTTTTGAGAATACTGGGCTAGTTGGGGGCAGTGTTGGGGGACTTGGGCCTGGGCGTATGCTGGGAGGAAAGGCAAGGAGATTATGCAGTGTGGTAGTAGGGACTGGGGGAAGTTTTTTTGTTTTTTGTTTTTGTTTTTAAAATCCTAGTTGGTCCCCAGTGGAGCCTCCAGACCTCCTCAAAGCCTTTGAGGTTGTGATTAATTACCATATAAACTAGACAGTCCTTGGCCTTGGTGTTGCCATTCCAGCCTGTAATTATCTTCATCACAAGTTGCTGTCTGGCTTTGTTCTGTAGGTAGAGGCTCTTTCGTAGGTCCCTGCATGTCCCTGAGTCACTAGCAGGCTCACTTGTGCTTATCCAAACTGGTGAATCATTAGCTGTCACCCTGGAGAGCAGTGCAGTTTGGGAAGGCGTGGGTGCGCCCATGGAGAGGGTGATCCCCTCTCTCTTCTTTCCAGGCATGCGTAAGGAGCAGTGGCAGAGAATTACGGAACAGAGGATGCTATCATAGGTGACCTATGAGCCAGGCACGTACATACGTGTCATCTCAATGAAAGCTTTACAGCACAGGTTATACAAGTAGTACACAGGGATAAACAGCAAGGTTCTTAGGTGGGTTTCAGACCTGGCTCTGTCATTTATCTAGAGGTATGACCTTGGCCCAACCTTCCTAACTTGTCTATGCCTTGATTTCCTCAACTATAAAATAGAGATAAAAATGGTAACTGCATCCAAGAGCTTTTGAGAGGAATTGATGCAAAGATGCAAGTACAGTGCCTAGCAAACTGAAGCACTCCATGAGGAGTGGTGATGCGGATGCTAATGCTGATGCTGGGACAAACTTACACCCACTTTACAGATGGGAGAACTGAGCCTCAAGTTGTCCAAAGTGGCATAGCTAGTAAGTGGTAGACTTGGGATGAAAACCCCAGTCTGTTTCCAAGTCAGGAACCCTTTCCTCCATAATGCCGTCTGCATAAATTAGACTGTTGGACTGAAAAACAATCCGTTCAAACCACAAGGGTACATTGGCCCAGGTTGCTTCTATGTTTTATCCTCAATCTGAAGCAATATAATGAGCAATGTAATGAGATTATGTTAATATTTACTCAGGGTTCTGGGAAACCCAGAAGGGTTTCAGGGTAAACCATCTCCCAGCAAGCAAGGGCTCGCCCGCTAATTCCCCTTTCTTCCAAGACTGATCAGATTGCCCAGTGCCTAGTAAAATGCCAGTTTCCTTCTATGTGGAAGGGAGCAAAGCTGTCAGCTCCTGCTGGGGCACAGGGAGAGGATGTTTCTTGTGGATAGGTAGGTGGTGCTTAGGGGTAGAGGCTCTGAGATCAGGCAGACATGGTTTCTATCTGTCCTCCCAGCAGTGTGTCCTTGGGTAAGTTACTTAATGTTTCTCAGCTTCAATGTCCTCATCTTAAGATGAGGGATTATCATGCTACTTTGTGGGGCCTTTGTGAGGATTAAATGAGATCTTAGTATCTGGCACATAGTAAGTGCTTAATAAAAATAATAAGGCAGAGCTGGGTAGATTGAGGGTTTTGTTTACAGCACTTTGGCAGCAAGTTGCTTGTTTCCTGCCATTCAGAGACCCTGGCCAAACTATGTCCATTGTGGCCACAAGACCATTGGCATGTCAGCCTCCAAAAGAGAGATGACTGCTCAGCAGGCATTAACCAGATCAGAGGTTCTTTGATTCAGCACAGTGCTCTCTTTTTGCACTGCTCTCAGTCTACCAACAGTATCAATCACAGCAACCATTCATGGTGCAAGGTGATCTCCCTAAACTTACATTATATCTTTAATCCTCACAGCAGCCTTGGGGGATGGTATTATTTCCATCTGTAGATGAGACAATAGGGGCTCAGAGATGGTAGGTAATTGCCCAAGGACACATAGCTGTTGGAGAAAGTAGTATTGGAGCAAAATCTATGTGTGTGCATCTAGATTGACCAACCTTCCTGGTTTGCCTGGGAATATGGGGTTTTCTAGGATGTGGGGCATTCAGTGCTAAAATCAGGAAAGTCTAAGATGAGTTGGTTACTCTATATGCGGCCTCTCCGTGGAGGGTTGGTTGGTGGGCCTGGAAAAGGGATAGGGATAAGAGAGAGAAGAGGAGGACGCAGAGAGAATGGCAGAAGCAACTCTGCACTGTTTCTTTCTGCAAAGATGTCTTTTCAATTCAACCTGCTTGTTCAGTTCAACAAGCAGGTTTGAATGCCCTCGTCCTTGGAGGGAGTCACGTCAGGACTTTCCGGGTATTTGACCGTGATGAAGAGCGCTGTCTGCCAGGGTTCGCCAGGCTGGGTGTGGAAAAATGGTGCCCAAACCAGCCCCACATGGCAGAATAGGAAACATGCTGTCATCTTGCTTCATCTGAATCTCCATTCCATGAGGGCAGGAATTGTTTTCTTTTTTACTTCTATAGCTGAAGCCCCAGTGCCCAGAATATGGCAGAAACTCCAGAAACATTGGTGGAATGTAGACTATTGAATAATTCCAAGTACAAACCAATGGTCCAGGGAGATTTAGATTCTGATGAAGGCAATCTGGGGAAGACTGAATGGAGAAATAGCATTGGAAACGGTTTGGATACCACGTGTTGGGATCAGGAAGCAGAGGAGCACAGAATGCTTGTGCAGAAGTGACATGGGCCCACTGCACCTGGGGTGGACCCTGTGAGGTAGAGTTGGAGACCAAGGGCCTGAGGACTGGACATGTCGGTGGAGACCAGGTGGTGGAGGATGGAGAATGCCATGCCCTCAGGGAGTTTGGACTGCCTGTCGTTAAGCCATTTTTTTCTCCAAATTTCAATCCCCCTCATTCCATTGTCACCATATTTGCCATGTCTGTGTACCTACCTATATTACTTATTTAACACTTTTCCTTCAAGTGACTTACTTTTTAACTTTACATTTGTTTTCATATCAAACACACATGGCTGTTAAAATAAAAATTACGATTTGAACTTAGAATCATCTTGCCTACCACATGAGGTAGGTGTACTTCCCTCTGAGGACCACAGCTCCAGCAACTGGGGAACCGACAAAGATTTTTGAAAGAAGAAATGATTCAGTTGCTTTTTGGGAAGACTACACACGTGAGGAAGTACTGAGTGGAAGATATGTGCATAAAACATTGGCGCAATTGTGACTAACATGGTAAGAAATATTATCAACGCAAGTTTGGGGGGCATTTCAAAGTCTCTCAATGGTCATCCGGATGAAATATGCAAGAACTGCTCTCTCTCTCTCTCTCTCTGTCTTTTCTCTTCTTGGTCTCACTTTGCCCTCTTTCCCAGCAGCTCTGCCTTCTCCCCCATGCTTGCTGCCAACAGCTCTGAGGAATGGGAGGGATTGCAGTTCAAAGAGTAAACAGGTCTACTCTGAGTAAGGCTGTGGGCTGTGCAGTGACCCCCAGTGGGTCTGGGTGCCTGGTAATGATGCCTGCACTGGCATGATGCTGTGGCTTTCCAGGCTTGTTTTACCTGGTTGTGCAAAGAATGTTACCCCCAGCCAAGGCTCAAGTTCACAGACCATTGGCCCATCCCCTAATAAGCATATTATTCCCAGCTGGGCATTGAACTTCCAAGTTAAGGTGACCTGCCAAACTGGAAAGAAAATGGATTTGCAAAAATCAGATGTTTGCCAACAGCACCATCCCCCACCACAACCATAGACAATTGTGAGATCTAAAGTTGGACTCCCTGAGGTTTTCTGCCCTGGTGGTTCTGGCAACTCCTGGAGAGCCACAGACTGATGAATTTGAGGATCATAAACCTTAAGAAGACTTTAAAGTATTTTTGGCATTAATTGACAAAGTCCACAGCAAGCCAGGCATGCTCTTCTCTCCCACTCCCCTTGTCAGAGATGTCTCTTTCCCCTTGCTCTTCTTACCCCATTCTTTCCAGCATAACCAAGCTTAATAGCTTCCATGTTTCCACTGTAAGGAAGTGAGCCGAGTGTGGTTGGTCTGTTTCACAGCAGGGCTATCCTCACACGAAAAGTTTTCAGATGCATTGACTATGCAGATTTTTGGCTCAGTTTGCAGAAGACTTCCTTATTTCAGTTTTACTGTACACCCACCTACATAATACTTTTTGGTTCTTAGAATTTCAGAGCTATTAACCTCTAAACTTAAATCAAAATTCTCATCAAACTTTCCTAGGGCCTTGTCATAAAAGAAACTAAGTCTCAAAATAGGACTTTTTGGCCTAATTTCCTTGTCCAGGAAGACAGATTGACTAATTCCAAACCCTGGACTCACATGTGATTGCTAAGAATAGGGGTGGGGGAGAGAGAGGGGACAAAAGTCATAGACATGCCATGACACATATTGGGAGATTTCATCTGAATTTCCCCTGAGTATGAAATTATTCAGAAATAATTCCAAGGGCTTCTTTTCTGACATTCCACCAGTGTGCAGGTGCATATGTTTTGAATGAACTGAATGGATAATTTATTTATACAAATGAGTCTTTTTGAATAGTTGCAATGGATGTGCTGTCAACTCTCCAATATCACTTCCAGGGGGTTTGTAGATGCATTCTTTCCATGGGCATCAGCAGGTCTGGATCTCCTGCTTTCTATCTGAAAGGCACTGGTCTGGATCTCCTGCTTTCTATCTGAAAGGCATTATGGGCAGCAGTCTGGTTGATTTTATACTACTTTGATACACTCTCAATTGCATACTAAGAATGAGGATGGAGAAACTGATAGTGAACCTCACCCCAATTAGGTTTCACTACTGCCCTTGACCTTCATATTTAATGCCTTTGTTATCACAGCAACTCTTTGCTCTATTTCTGGATCCAAATGCCTAAGGATCTCCCTGGGGTGTTAAGCTTGCTCAGTGCTATTAAACCTGGTGGGTGGCAGAGTGACCTTTGTATCACAAGAGCCTCATGACTTCCCAGGCAAGACCAAGTCACAACTTTTCCAATGGATTTCCCCTCGATTCTTATTCTGAGCATTTAGCTTTTTAAATATTTGGCTCTGAAGGGCAGGGGCTAAACATTGTTCTGTAAGATCCAAACCTGCTTGTATATTTTATACTTTTGTTTTTTCATTTCAACTTTCCGATCTCGCTCTTCTGAGAAACATTCACATTTCCAATTGCATTCCAGAACTGAGCTTGACTTTCCATGTCCATGTAAGATCTTGTAATTCAAATTTCAGCCAGCTGCTAAGCTTCTCTTTTCTGGAGGGGATTGTGGTTAAGAGATCTTGTTTTGCAATGACGCTGTCTGGTCTGAGCTCCAGCTACTTGTCTTATTTACTGTGCAACCTTGGCCATGTTAACTTATCAGGCTCATGAGGCTCGGTTTTCTCATCTATAAAGTGAGAAAATGAATAGTACCTATCTGATGGAGTTTTTCTAAGGCTTAAATGAAGTAATGCAAATTAAATTCTTAGTCTAGTCACTGGGAAAAGATGAAAACTTAACGAATATGAATAGTCACTATTCTGTTTCTTTTTTTCTATGCCATTCCGGCTTCACCTCCTTCTCTTACTTTTTCCCTTTCTTTTTTCATTTGTTTTCTTTTTTTTTTTTTTCTTTTTTGAGATGGAGTTTCGCTCTTGTTGCCCAGACTGGAGTACAATGGCATGATCTTGGCTCGCTGCAACCTCCACCTCCCAGGTTCAAGCGATTCTCCTGCCTCAGCCTCTCGAGTACCTGGGATTACAGGTGCCCACCACCATGCCTGGCTAATTTTTGTATTTTTAGTAGAGATGGGGTTTCACCATGTTGGCCAGGCTGGTCTTGAACTTCTGACCTCAGGTGATCCACCCACCTCAGCCTCCCAAAGTGCTGGGATAACAGGATGCCGCACCACTGTGCCTGGCCTCTTCTACTTTTTCTTAGAAACATGGAGGGTTAGTTCTCTGGCCACTCATATGAAACTTCATTCCCTGCTAAGGTGGAAGTATTGGAGTTCAAGCTCTACACTTAGTGGAGGGAGTAAATAAGCATTTCCAGAGAGCCCACCAAGTGCCATGCAATCTCCTAATGCTTTGTACTATTTCTCATTTAACCCCCCAAACAGCTCACTGAGTATGTTAATATCCCCAATAAACAGATAGGGAAACTGAGACCTAAAGTTTGAGCAAATATGGCAAAGTTTTCCTAGGCTGTCTGGCTTTAAAAACAATGTCCTTTCACCGCATCAGGCTGCTTCTGAGGAGCAGAGCCACCTTGCTTTTGTAAGTCTGTTGGAATAGGCTCTGAGATGCCACACGTTATCCCAAATAATTAGGCATCTGGATGGAGATTTTATACATTTTCTACTTGGACCTGAGTTTGCTGTCTCTCATGGTTCCTGGGTGAAAGAGGCCAGGCCCTGAGACCTTTACCCAAGGTTGGCTCTACCAAAATATCTTCTTGAGTGAGTTCTCTGGTTGATCATCTGTGGAACAATGTGGGAGCCTACTAAATATGAATGGAAAATGAGGAATGCAAAATGGATGGTTTTCTCCACTATCACCTCACCCTTGGAGGTGTTTGCTGATTTGGTAGATGTGTGGAGGAACTCAGGAGTCTGAATTTGTAAAGGTAATTTGGATGCTTCATTAGCTTAGAAAGGACACAGCAGGGAGAACTATATAGCAGAGAAGGCTGGATGCCTATGAGGGTAGGGAAGGGAAAACAAGGGGGTGGGGCTGTAGCTGCCCTACCTCCGGTCCATATATGGCTGCATTTCTTTAATCTCTTTTACTTTTGGGATTCCATGGTAGTAAACAAAGAGTTCTTATGTTAAAACAATTGCTATCTAATTGTACAGCATGGTGAATATAGTCAATAACAATGTATCATGTATTTGCAAATTGCTAAGAGAGTAGATTGTGTTTTCACCACACACAAAAATGGCAAGTATGTGAGGTAATGCCCATGTTAATTAGCTCAATTTAGCCACTCCACAATGTGTGTGTGTGTGTGTGTGTATATATATATATATATATGTTTATGTATATATACACACACACATATATATGACATGTCAGAATGTCATGTTTTATTCCATAAATATATACAAATTTTATTTGTCAATATAAAAAGAATAATACCTGGAAAAACAAAAAAAAATCCTAAGTGCTATACTTATAAAGAAATCTTCCTCATACAAAAAAGAAGAAATTCTGGCCACAGGAAGGTTGCCTGAAAATGGCCACCTTTTTCATGATTTTCCCTCCCTTTCTGAGACTGAGAAATGAGCCTTCTTGAAGACCCTGATGGAAATACTGTGAAGAAACTAAGACAGTTGGATTCAAGAACCAAAATGCTTATCGTAGCAGTGAGGTTGGCTTGAAGTCAGGGAACAGTGTAAAGCTATTTGTGGGGAAAGATAAGGCCAGAAAGAGATTGATAAAATACAGGCGAGACCAAAGGAACAGGGCAGGGGCAAATTAGTTTAGGCAAGAATAGAGGCGTCTTGATATTAATTAAAATATGGAGGAGGAGTCCAGAAAATTCATCCTTGGTGCTTGGGTAAGTTTAGCAACATGTTCAGATGCCTGAGTTTTGTGTGTGTATGTGTGTGGGCATGCACGTGTGTGTGTACACAGTGGGTCATTCTTCTCAGGAAGAGTGAGCCACTCTCCCCTCCTCCAGCACCAAAGTGGCCCCCACCTTGGCACGCCAGTGGCACATGCCATTGGGCCAGGATTTGCTCAGAATGCAGGCACACAGACATAATGTCAGGAGGCATTGCTGGTGTGTGTCACATCAACCTGTTAGAACAACTGTCAACGTGTGACCTCCCAAACAGAACTCAGGTGCCCCCTTCAGAGACCGTAAAGCTTGTCCTTAGAGGATAATGAAGATCCCCAGGAACCTCATCTAATCCAAAACCAAAAGATTTGGGAAATGTGACCTTTAGAGGGGAGTAGCATTAAGAAGCAAAATGATACTTATTAATTCTGTTGCTTATTTGACTGTAACCAGTATAATAAATGATCATATTCTGCTCGATTTAATTCCCCCTCCCCATAAGTTTCACAAGACCAGAAGGAGTTTCTTCTTCCCATTGGTCTTACATTAATATTCTTGTACGGCTTTCACTAAATAGATGCCGTGTTCTGCCCTGGAGGTAACACCACGTCATTAGGAGGAGATGATAGACAGAAATATATACAAACACACACTTGCTTTCAAAAATAAATATAGGCCCTCTAGTTAAAAGGTATTGTGTAAAGTGTGTGAGCATCCTCTTTCTTGCAAAGCAAGCACACAGCTTCCATTAATCTTGTAGCCACAGCCTGTGTTGGTGTTAAGACTCAGATTCCTTAATGCTTGATACTTGGCTTAAAGAGATTCTTTGTCCTGGCCTTGATTTGGGAATTAAGATCCCTAGGGTTTTTGGTTTTACAGTATGGATCTTCTAGGAGACAACCCGACTGACCTCCGGGTCTCCAGGCCACCACACACAACCTGGTTTGCTTTGCTCTGTTCCCCTTTTCCTCTGTGGGGACCAGCACAGGACTCAACTCAAGGGCTCTGTGTCTGTGCACAGGTTGGAGAGGGTGATAGGGCCTTGACCTGTAGGGACAACCAGGAAGATTTCTATGCAGAGTAATTGGGTTTCTAGAGTTTGTTTCAGTTGATTTGAGGGCAAGCTGCTTGGCCTCTCTCTCTTGATTCTTCCCATCCACAGAATAAAGACAATCAGCTTTGTTTATCACTCTGTTCATTTTGCTATGTCTTTATCAGCCCCCCAGAGAATTCAGGAGCACAGAACAAGTGCTGGAGGTCTCTCTTGCCAGAGTCCTCCTTGAGAACTTACAATGTGTCCATATTAAGGATCTGCTGTGTTTGATGATTTTGTGATTACACTTTAAACTTCTTATCCATAAAGGACATACTTGATATATCTGAGACTTGTAGTAGAAGGCCTTGAGACATCCATCTCATCCCATCATTATCTATCTATCATCTATCTATCTATCTATCTATCTATCTATCTATCTATCTATCTATCTATCATCTATCTATCTATCGCCAGTACTGTCTTGTTGAAGTTGGCAGTAGGGTGAAAGACCTCAAACTCCAAAGGACTTTCCGTATGGATGCAATATACCTGCAATTCTAGCTTTTTTGTGTTTTTTTTTTTAGGTTGGGGGTGAGGGGTATTGTTTTCATTTTTGTTTTTCTTCTGGAAGGTTCAACTAAGACCCAAGTAAAAAGAAGAATCAATACTTAATAAGTACCCAGCAAGTAGCAGGCACACTTTTAGGTACTTTATTTACAAAAAAACCTCCACAAATAAAGTGGCTTGTGAGTATGAGGTGACATCTTTCCCTCCCCTCCCACCATCACTACCCCAATATGACTCGTCTCAATAGCCCTCCAATCTAAAATGGACTAAATACAAGTGGATAAAGAAATGGAGATTTAACCAGAATTCTTCAGCTATAAATTACAGGGCCTATAATTAAAGGTGATTGGGACTGGGTCAGAGAGCCACATCACTTTTGTGGTTGCATTTGAAGTTCACTATCTCTTGACCACACAACCCTAGCCCTTCTACTCCCACCCTGCTGTCTCAGGTTAATCTCAGGCAATGGTGTAAAGAAGGCCAAGTTTGTTTCCCTGGAGTCCCACGGGCTCTAGCAATAATGCTTCCCTTTTCTCATGAGTGCCCCGCCACCCACCCCCCTTCACCATCACTACACACAAATGCCCTGCAGTGGGTGGAATGTAGTTACTTCAGGTTGTGCCTGATTTGTCTCTCAAGCAAAACTCCAGCAGGCCATTCCCTCAGGGCCCTGCTCTCAGATCTGGAACTGATAGACTAATTGGGGCTAATGTGATAATGGGAAATAATGAAATTTGTTGTTTTTATCAGTGTGTATATGGGGCGGGGTTTACATTTGCATTTTCACAGGGCCCTTGGCAAGTTCACAGGGTTGAACAGTTGGGAAGGGTGGGAATGTCTGGGGCAGGTTAGGGAGGCAGAGGGATTTATTAGAACTCCCCTAAACTGCACTGACCAAAGCCTCAAGCCCTTCTTCAAGACCTGCCCAGCTTCCAAGACCTTCCCAAGTCCACCCTTGTTTTCCCACTGAGTCTTTTACACTTTCAGAAACCTCTGAATTTGTGTAGAAACTAGAAAAAATAAGTAAGAAAAGACTAATACTACTGCACACTCACTGTTCCCCCTTAATATAATAACCAGTTTTTATTCTATTCAGTCAGCCTTTGACCATAAGCAGACCTTTTTTTTTCTTTTTAACACAAGTAACTTCTTGGTTTTGATCACAAAATCTTTATCTCTGCCAAATCTCAACTTCCCTTCCCTCTCCCACAAAAGGGAGGCCCGTTGAGTCAAAGAAATCTGCTTAGACACTTTGCTCATGCCAGGCCAGTGTCCTGGAAGGTTCAACAGAGAAAGTTAATGGTTGGGGGATGGTATTTTTCTTTGCTAGGAGCAGTCATTCACCCGTATGGGAGAAGGTACATTTGTGACCCAGTGAAGCAGGTACAGGTAACTCCCCATATGTCCCTTGGCCCAAGGGAATAGAGGTTGCCTGGGTATTTGAATCCGTAGATCCTCCCTAATATTCCACCTTCTTCTTGTCCAAACTGTGCTTTTTTATTTCCAGTTTCAGCATTTTGGTCTTCTCATCTCTAACTCTTATAGGGAGTGTCAATAAACCTTTTAAAAAAGATCATGTAAGTGTCAAGAGGAAGTGAAGAACCTAGATAATCCACCAACCGGATAATCAGCTCTTGCATATTTGAGAGTTGACTGCTTGACCTAAGCATCTCCTCATAAGGTACCCTCCCTCCCAGGACCTTCCCTTTCAAACCTCTCAAGGCTCTTACCTGGGGCCAGGGGAGATAGGCTTTTCAAAGTCCATTGAATTGCCAAGAGTCTCTGTCAAGAAGGCAGTCATGGTGCCTGGAGAGGGAACTTGCTGGGAGCCCCTTCAGAGCCTGGTACTTATAGAGCTAGGGAAAAGATCTTGATGCCAAAGCAGGGTGGACTAAATACAGACTAATAAATGAGACAGGTGCTCAAGAGGGCCCCTCCATACCATCATCTCCTCCAGATTTGGACTTCTACTCACTTTGCTTTTACATTCCCTCTTCCCGATGGTGTCTTTGGTGAGCAGGGTGCTTTTCACCTGAAACAGCCTCTGAGCTGAAAAGAACAGTCACCACCAAATCAATTCCTCATCCATTAACAGGTTGTCTCTCTGTTCTTGAGACACAGGCATTACCTGGTTAGACCTGTTTTGTTTGAACACTAACGTGTGAGTTGGCCAAATGCAAATGAGCCAGTGTTTGTAATCCTTTATTTTATTTTTTTAAAGGGCTGGGTAGCCAATCAGAAGAGGGGGAAGTGACTTAGGGAATTCCCGGTTGGTGGCTTATTGCTTAACATCCTACAAAATGATTTAAAATTATTGTTATATGCATTTATCTTCACTCTGATGAGGGCTCAGACTTGATAACACCCGTGGTGCCCCATCCCTATAGGAGCTGGTGAGATTGCAGCCTGCTGCCTCCCCTCCAACAGCCACAGCTATTGGATTTCCCACCCAGAATCTTTAGGTAAATGAGGTAAGTCCTGATTTTTAAAACTTCTTTTGAATCTGGAATCCAAACACTTGAGTGGAAAGAGAAGCCTGCTTTAAACTGGACAGATGAAACTAGAACAGACTCTTGGAGACGGCTGGCAGGAAGTGAAGCTCACCTTACCTGGGCTTACCTCACTGGGTCAAATCAGAATTTTATTTTGGAGGGCAGGTTGGCTACTTTGGATATTATCTGTGAATTTCCTGCATTGTCTGGACTTCTAATCTCTGTGAATTTAAAAGCCCCCTCGTTTCCCTATGCCTGGGTGGCAAAACCATTCCCCTGGGTTGAATTCTTCTGGAACAAATAGGCAGCTAGAGATAGGTGGCTCTGATATAGCTCAGAGAAGAAGTGGTTGGCTAAGTAGCTGTTAGGGCTCAGAGTACACGGTCTCGCTTTCTAGAGATGTCTTCTGCTGGTAATTTTTCTGACTTATGAGCTACATGGAAAGGCCAATTTGTTTTTAATATGTTCCAGGACTGGAAAATGGCTAGAAATAGGCAAGAACATACACAATCACACTGGAAAAAGTGGCCAGGCAGCCAAGGCAGGCAGAGGTATTGGGGAGAGCTGAATATCTACAAAAACAAAAATTCAGAAAAAACAAAAATCAATTTTGGCAAAGGGCTTCACTGTATAACAAGGGGACAAGCTAACCCTTTGTTTACAAACTAACCCTTTGTTTACTCCATTTTGTCCAGAAAATACAACAATCAGTTTTGGCAAAGGGCTTCACTGTGTAACAAGGGGACAAACTAACCCTTTGTTTACTCCATTTTGGGAGACTATGATCAGACAGGCAGTTGTGACTCAGCAGCAACAAATGCCTTCTGAGACAGGGATTCTTTTGATTTTGCTTGGACATTGTGGAGAAGTGTTAGCCCCAATGTGGACTGATCTGGGAACAGTGGGAAATTAACTTCTTGTTGGTAAATATCAGGCTGAGGTGAGAAAGCGACATTTTCACCGTCCATCTTTGCTGATTTACCATGCTCCCAGGATGGTGGGAGTGTGTGTTTTTAAGATGGAGAGTGTATGCTTCTGGGTTCAAGTTCACAGGTGTCTCTGCTGGTTATCTGCACTCACCTTGGTAACAGGGAGAAAGTGAGTGAATGGATTCCAAGAACTTACTGATGGAAGTCTAATTCAGGAGTTGGTTCTGCAGCCATGGAGGTAAAGATGTGTTGATAGTCTTTCAATGTGTAAAAGGGCAATTAGAGATTCTGTGTGACTGTGTGTTAATTCCACTGGGGTCAGGGGAAAAATTTATTTCTAACAGAAAAGAAGAAGATACGTTATTAGGAAGAATTTCATGGCTAGGAGATACTATCAGAAAAGGCTCTTAAGAGATTTTAAGGATGACTTTAATAGCTGCATTTGAAGTTTGCAGAGGATCCACTTTTCCTCTTTTTGTGACCTAAAATTCTGGGATGATGAAATAACTCACCAATTCCATCTTCTTATAATATGGAGTCATGTAGACAACACCATTTTCACACAAATGGCTAATGGTATTTAAAAACCATGATGGAATGTGAATTGGGAGTCATTTGGAGGTCTGTAGTTGAACTTGAAAAAATAATAAATGTAATGGAGACAATACTTCACCGTGTTTCCAAAATATTTTACAGAGGCATTTTAAATGAAAGTCACTTTGAGGGAACAGCTGTGCTGTAAGTTCTCTTACATGACCGCGCAAGATGGTAGCCTTCATCAAGACCTCTCAAGGTAGTGTGGGTAGGGTGACGTGTTTGATTCAGGCCTCGTTTGTTATGAAAAGGCTCAAATTCAATTGTATTTGTTATTTTTTTGGTTAAAAAGCACCTATTTGTTCAATTCAAACAATCCTTTTTGGTTTTTTTTTGAGATGAAGTCTCCGTCGCCCAGCCTGGAGTGCAGTGGCATGATCTTGGCTGACTGCAACCTCCGCCTCCCAGGTTCAAGTGATTCTCCCAACTCAGCCCCCCGAGTAGCTGGGATTACATGTGCTCGCCACTATGCCCAGTTAAGTTTTGTATTTTTAGTAGAGACGGGGTTTTACCATGTCAGCCAGGCTGGTTTTGAACTCCTGACCTCAGGTGATCCACCTGCCTCAGCCTCCCAAAGTGCTGGGATTATAGGCTTCAGCCACCGTGCCCAGCCATATTGTTTTCATTTTTAATCTATTAGTCTATCGTGATCTCCCAGTGGAAGTATCTTTGGCCTTTGTGGACGTCAGGAAAGCCCTACATTCCCACTCGCGATTCCATGTTTATGGGTACCCTAAATGCTCCCATTAATTGACCAACTTTACCCTGATCTTCTTTCAATATCTTTCTGACTCCTTGAAGGTATGAGACAAAATGGAAACTGAGAGGTTAAAAGGTTTACTAGGTTGCATTCAATTAGCGAATTGGAAACTGGAAGGAGCTCCTATCGGGTCTCAGGTCAGAACGTGAGTGCTTTTGGCCAAAGTTCACTTCTGAGGAAGTAGAATTTCGCTTTCTGGAATCTTGCGATATTTTATTTCCTCTATATCTTTCCCATGCCCCCGACCCACCCAATCTCCACAAATTTGGGGATTTGAGCACTGGGTTGTGATCGTTAGACCATCTTGCTTTTCTGAAAGCCCAGGGCAAGACCCCTGCTTCATGTCACAGTATCAAACACAGACATAGAAGCTTGTACAAATTATTGAGAAGTTATTGTCTTTTCTCCCTTCCTCCATATGGAGTCATCTCTATGCCCTTTCATACAGATGTGATTTACGAAGACCTCTGGGTTAGGGGTGGGGTGGTGAGCAAGAATCCCGTGGCAGAATCTGCTAACACACTTGAGAAGCAATGTTGTGGTTTTAAGGAACTCAATCTAAAGCTTGAACCTGATTTTCAGGGATACCATTTTGCTGCCGTTTCAGCCCATTTCTCTTGTTAAGATCGCTCTCTGGTAGAGTTGACGTGACACTCATTTCTGTTGTGGGTGGGGCCCTGGTTGGGAGGCATTGGCTCCACTGCAGCCTGGGTGTCTAGAGACCACATTCTCACCCTGCCTTTGTTACTGGGAAACCGAACGCGGCGCTGTGGCTTTCAGCTTGGGTAAGCCGGGTCTGCGGCGGGGATTGCCATCTGAAGACAGAGGCAGGAGGGCAGCCACACCTTGCCCAGGTTCTCTTAAATCTCTTGCTCTATAACTGAAAGGAGGGCATAGATAATTAACTTTATTTGACATTTTTCATATCTAATTTTTAAGAATATGATTTTAAAATAATAGATTTGTTCTAAAGAGCAAACAATCTTGCTGTTATTAAAAACGTGTTTACTTAAATTGAACGGGGTTTCAAAGGGCCAAGCTACTAAGCTGTGCAGGAAACAAACAGTGCAGTGAGGAGAATGGCTCCTCACCACAGCTATTCTTAGGGTGGGACATAGTTTCAAGCCAAATGACATTGATGTCCGGAAACCAGGATGTGCTGAAGTAGAAATTTCCAGGGATCCCTCAGAGTTATTTGCTAAAATGTTTATTATTCTTCAGAGGGGGGTGGAAATATTTCTTTAAGAGTCTTCCTTGAAGAATTTTGAACTCCAGCTTTGGAGTGATGGGAGCACAGTGCAGGGAAGGCGGGATGTGAGGTGGTGTGCTGGACGGCAGTCTAGGGACCTGGTCTAGCACTGGCAGAGCTGTGTGTCCCAGAGCACACATTCCCCTTTGCCAGGCTTTAGTTTCCTCCTCTAGGCAAAAGGGTTTGAACCTGACCATCTTTAAGATCCATTTTAACCCTCAGATTCTGTGGCTGTGGTGATTGGGGGTGGTGGGAGTACCTGGGGGTCAGCAGGATAAGCACGAATCTGTGAGAGCTGAGAACAGGTGGGAGAAGCCTTCTAAGGATGAGGCAGGAAAGATTAGCAAGAGCCCTTAAATGGATTCTTTAGGGCCTTCAGAATTTTGGCTAAAGGCTATACTAGTGGAGGTACTAAGACCTGACACCTGGAGCCTTTATTAAGGATGTTAGAATCCACTCCCATGACAACATCCCAGCTTTGCCAATTTGCCTCATGTGTCTCAAGCTGGTGGGAATGTAGAAGTGGATGAAACAGACTGTTTTGTGATGGCAGGGAACAGCCTATGCACAGGGGCAGGTGCTCTACTGGTGTCTTCTATAAAACGCCAAAGCAGCCCGCCAGAAAATGGACATTTAGGCACTCGTGGTGTCTACTGAGTTTGTATGGTACTGATGAGCTTGCTTGACTGATTATCCATGACTTACTGAGTAGATCGAACGTATGTGGACTCACTTCTCCTAGAGGAAGACCCTGTGGCTGCCCCAGCCACTGAGCAGCCTAACCTGGAGACCCTGATGTGCCCAGAAAGCGTCAACCTTGTATCTGGAGAAACCAGAACTTGCAACAGGGCCAAGCAGGGTGGCCCATTTAAAGAGGCTCCTAGGGTTTTAATTGACCTTGTTTTAAAAGAGACACCCTGTAAAATACTCCTATGAAAACTTATTTCACAAGCACCTAACCGCATTCTGTCTTTGGTTTGTTTTACGGGGCCGGGCCCCTTGTTCTGGTCAATTGGTCTGCATTATCTCTCCTCCTCCAATCTCACCACACACCCTGGCCTCTGGGAGGCTTCCTCCCTTCTTTTTTTTTGTTTGTTTTGTTTTTTTAGCATCTTAGTTGTTACTAGGGGTACTTGCCTACTTATTTAAAATATGGCCAGTATAGGTGCATACAAAATGTGCTTTCTGATTAAAACAAAGCCAAAAATAAAAAGAAACCAAAATGCCTATTATAGTAGTTGGATTTTTAGACTAACAGACCACCTCATTAACCCTGTCATTTTACCATAACAACTTATTTTTATCTTTGTATGACCTTGTCTCAATGTCCTTTTTCTTTGATGTTGTTGCAATTATGAACATCAAATTTCATAGCTGCTTTTCCACCCCACTTTCTATCACAGAAGCACAATAAATAATCTTGGGGGCTGGGCTCTTGTTGGCCCAACTGTGGCTTCAAAACATTTCAGTTGCCTGTCCAGCCCTTTCTTAGCCTGATACAACATCCCCCAAAAGTCTGTTGAGCTTTTCCTGGAATAAGAAGAGGGTCTTCTACTTTTTGAATAGAGCAATGGAGATTGGAGAATATGGTCATCTTGTGGAGGTTATTCCAGGCTTCTTCTTAGGAACCTTAAAAAAAATCTCCTCAGTAGGGCTGATGATATATTCTGGACAATAAGGTGAGCAGAGTCTGAAAGATGAGAGCAATTTTCAATCTTGTCATGATTTCATCTAGTCAGCCTCATTTCATCTAGTCATGAGGCTGACTAATGATAAGACTTGCTTTGTCTTTGCAGTGTACTCTAGATTTGACTCTAAATTCAGCCTCTGTCTTGATCATGCCCACTTAGAAAATTAGAGTGCAGCTAGCTCACCTTTTAGTCATCTTAATTCCACTAGGCAGAAGGCTGTGGGTCAAGGAATGTTGATGGAGTAAAATTTGACTGCATGTGTATCTGAAGGGGTAGGAGGCTAAGAGATTTTATGGCTTGGAAGCTGCTGAGATGTGGTGTAAAGAACACTGGACTTAGAGTCCAGACACCTGAGTTTAAGCTGG
The DNA here is from genome assembly GCF_000001405.40 of Homo sapiens. NCBI lineage: Eukaryota > Metazoa > Chordata > Mammalia > Primates > Hominidae > Homo > Homo sapiens. The sequence continues at coordinate 34,626,838 of NC_000011.10, forward strand.
ACTCTACCACTGGGTAGTTGAATGACTTTGAGTGAGTTATATAAGCTCTAGCATCTAAGTTTTCTCATCTGGAAAATGGAGTTAATAACATCTACTGCATTGGGCTGTTGTAAAGATTAAATTAACAAAGAATGTGAAAGCACCTGAACAAAAGCTTGTGAGTAAATAATTAGTAATTTGTGGAATGAACATCAAGGGAAGTCTTCAATTTGGGTGTTTTCAGTGAGTTTCTGTTGGGTCAGAGTGAATGGATATTAAATTCTGGGATTTTGGTTTGTGTGTGTGTGTGTGTGTGTGTGTGTGTGTGGCGATCAACATTGGTTCTTCACTGTGACCTTAGGAAAGAAATGCAATAGGGTTTTTATTGGGAAGGTGGGTAGCAGGGAGATGCATGAACCATATTAAGGGGGGACCTCCAAATTGAACCTTGTTTTGAGTCAACTGCAAACCACAACCAAGGAGGTCCTGGGAGACCTGGGGTGACTTGGGGTGATTGGGTATGCAGCACATTCCTGTTCTTGTGTCCTGATGCCTGGCAAGTAGGGACCTGCAGAAAATACTGATTCTCCTCCAGGCAGTTCACATGACTAGCTTTTAGGAGTGAGTATACCGTTGCCCACCCCTAAAATTCTTGATCATGTCTCCAGATGTCTACTGACCACTGATGCTGAGGTCATGAATCTTGGGCATTCTAGAGGCTTTGGGAAAAAAAATTCTACTTACTTCTTTTGCCCAGACACTCTGGGGTCTACCTCTTGGTAAATTATTCAAATGAGGTTTCTGGTCATGCAAATGTGGTTTCTAGAGCCTATTTGAATTGAACAAGTAGTTCTTATTATTAGTAAAACAGCAAGGATCCCTAACTTGGGGTCCAAGGGTAAATTCAGGGTTTCTGTGAACTTGGATGTAAAAAAAAATTGTCTTTATTTTCAATAATCTCTAACTAGAATTTAACATTTTCTTTCAATATGAATGTAGGCAAAACTCCATGGTAGTATTAGCTGCAATTGTGACTATCACCAGGATAAATCACATTTTCATGTCTTATTACACCTATTACATATATCACAAAAAGTGGGTATTTGATATCAAGTTAGATCTGCACTAGGTAGATATTCTTATTTAATGTATTAACAAGGAAGCACATATATTGTTATCAGGTTGGTGCAAAAGTAATTGTGGTTCTTGCCATTAAAAATAATTACAAAAACAGCCAGTCTGGCCAACATGGCGAAACCCCATCTCTACTAAAAATACAGGTGTGGTAGCACACACCTGTAATCCCAGCTACTTGGGAGGCTGAGGCAGGAGAATCATTTGAACCTGGGAAGCAGAGGCTGCAGTGAGCCAAGATCACACCACTGCACTCTAGCCTGAGCAACAGAGTGAGACTCTGTCTCAAAAAAATTAAAAAATAAAAAAAAACTCTGTAATTACTTTTGCACCAACATAATATGATATCACACATTTATTTTAAAAAGTATTTTGACATTGTCTTTTAATATAAATTTTTTTAAATCTTATAATATTTTAATTTGTCATGTAAAAATATTATTTTGAGAAGAGGCCTGTAGGCCTCACTAGATTACAAAACAGATCCATCGTACAGATGAAAGGTTAAGAACACCTCATTTACAGCATTCTCTCACACACGACTAACGAAATGACTTCTGAACAGCGCCAGTTGATAGATGTTCTCTGCCAAAAGGGGAATATGATCTTCCCATATGTTCCTGCCTATGGGTAGCCTTGGAGTTGTGAAGGGACTTTGGCATAATGAAGATGATAATAAGAATGATAATGGTAATTTGTTGAGTGCCTGCTGTAAGCCAGGTGGTTACAGTCCTGTTCAATGTCATGTTTAGTTTAATCCTCCCAATGACCTCAGGAGGTAGTGCATGGAACAAAGACAGAAGAGATCCCCTGCCCACCCACGGTAATGAAACATGGGTACAGGTGAAGGCAAAAGTGGGGACTGACCCTTTGGAGATGGCTGATGTCACGAGTGTGCAACCTGTGCAGTTCCACGGGGCCCCATGCTTAGAAAGGTTCCATGTTTGGTTTAAGGCTCTGCTGTTGCCATCTTAAAATTCTTCGTAAGTTTTGAACAAAGGGCCCTGCATGTTCCTTTTACACTGAGCTCTGCAAATGATGTAGCTGGTCCTGCCTCTGGTTATGGTGAAATGGAATGTATGACAACTCCTGAGACTGGGAGTCTGGGAAGCTGCTGCGGAGAGCCCTCTCCTCATTTTCATCAGGCTCAGCTACGCAACCTCTGGTGGAAAGCTATGGCCTGTTGAGGAGGGAGGATGTCGTTTTTGAGTTAGTGAGTTTTCCAGTTTTGTTTGAGCTCCAAAGCTTTCCTCCAAACAACTGGAAAGATGGCTGAATAATTGGCTGAAAGGGATTTAATCCCTTGAAAAACCTTTCTGGTAGGGAGTTGCTGGCAATACTGGTGGGTTTTTCATGATTTTATTTTACAGAGGGCTTGCTACGTAAACCAGTGAGCCAGGAGAAACAGAATAAAGTCTGTTCTGGAAGGAAAAATGAGACCTGGTGTGCCACGAGTCTAGTGTTCTCATAGGAAGGCTCTAAAAACAAACTCAGCTTTCCTGCTATTGAATGATTATCTCTATAAAAGGAAACTTTACTTCTTCTAAAGGAGAGGTCGTCTAATTTGTGAGAAAATTCAGATGTTATTTGCTTCTTAAGCTGCAAGGATGCTAATGAAATAATTCTCATGAAGTTCTGTTGGTGTTTTAGGGCTAAGTTTTTATAGACTGTTCCAAAATTCAAAACAGGGATGTGGACGTAGTGATGGTGGAAGAGGGGAAGACTTTTCCTCGATTTCTTTGCCTGAGGGATGGAATTCAGGCTCCCCCAATAACATATTCATGGTCTTTCTCTGGTCAGTCAGTGATGTTCATAACACAAGCAAGCCTGTCATCAGGACCAATCTGTGATGGCTGAGACATCAGGTGCTCTTCCAAAAGAGCCATAATTCACCCTTCATTTCCCAAGGTTTTTTTTTTCTTGCTGTTATTACTGCTCTTTTATCATGGTTAATAAGTCTGAGGTGGCTTCAGACAGCCAGTCCTAACCCCTGAGTCAATCTGGGGCCTCTAACAGGAAGCCAGACTGAAGTTCTGATAGATGGGTTTGAGTGGCTGTGAACTGTGTTTCTGTAGCATCCAGACTGATTTGCACTGAAAGGGAGCTTCCATATTAGGGTACAAGGATGATCAATATGTCTCCTGTTTATATTTGGTGGAAAAAGTTGTGGGAATCGTGCTTAAAGGATCTCAACTTTGAAATTAAAAGTATAACGTCCTAACAGACATCCTCCTTCTCTTTAGAAACACAAGGATCCATTTTCAAGTAATTTCAAAAGAACTATGTTGCTTTCCCCACCCCTTCCCAAGTACACTTATTATAATATATCCAGTCCATTTGCTAGCTTTGTGTCTTTAGAAAAGTTGCTTAACCTCTCTCTGTAAAATGGTGCTTATATTAGTACTAACATTCAGGGTTATTGTGAGGATTAAATGAGGTAATTCATGTAATGACTAGTTCTATTTCTAGCACAATTTAAACCCTCAACAAATATGAACTATTATCACTGTCATAGTTTTTGTTGTTGTTTTCTAATTATATAATCTTCAAGATTCTGAGATGGGGGCTGTTGCTCTTTCCTTGACTTGAACATCTTGGTCTTTTCCTAGGAGGAAACTTGACTCTTGAAATGGTCAAATCCATTGTCCTAGTTCATCCTGACCCCTCCCTGGCTCCAATCCCCACCCCTTACCGTCCTCCACCCTTCCTACATTCCTGCACAGTTGGTCTTATTTATCAGTCAACTAAGGGTGTTGTTAAATCTTTTATTTTTCTGCTGCCCGATTTGGTTCTAAGCACTCCACTCCCTACGCTGCTCATAACAAGAATGCCTGGGAACGCTCAGTCAGCCATATCCCTCCCCTGTCGGAACACCCAGTTCTTAATGCTCCTGGAGAGGCAACATTTCTGAGGCCCCACTGCCATAAGCCCCCCTCCCCCATGAAGCCAGTGGTCTGGTAGTAATGAACCCCCAACGGCCCGGAGAACACTGGGGCAAGGTGTTTGTCTGGGGAAATGTTGCATGTTGCCTTGACTGTGCTTTCTTCTACAAAGCTTAAAAAGAGATATTATATTATTTTATTTTTATTTTTATTTTTGAGATGGAGTCTTACTTGGTTGCCCAGGCTGGGTGTGCAGTGGCACAGTCATGGCTCACTGCAACCTCCACCTCCTGGGTTCAAGTGATTCTCCTGCCTCAGCCTCCCAAGTAGCTGGGACTACAGGCACATGCCACCATGCCTGGCTAATTTGTATATTTTTAGTAGAGACGGGGTTTCACCATATTAACTACATTGGTCTTGAACTCCTGACCTCAAGTGATATGCCCGCCTCGGACTCCCAAAGTGCTGGGATTAAAAGCATGAGCCACTGCGCCCGGCCAAAAAGAGATATTCAAAAGCTCCCTCTGACTGTGTGTGCTGAAGGCTGAGTGCTGATGCCATTGCTTAATTAATGTTGTTCATGATCTCCATTTGGGCGATTTGTTTAGCTCCTTGTGGCCCTTTTTGGACTTAGCTTATCATGTGACATTGACAAATTAATGAGAAGTGAGCATGTGATGATGCTTGGATTAGGACAGAAATCACATCTAGGACATCTCAGGCCCTTTCCACCTGGGACCTGAGGCCTCAAATCTCTTGGCAGGAGATGAGTGGGTCTACACAGCCCGATTTTGAGGTAGGTGTGGCTAGCCTCATTTATGCGATGGGAAAACTGTGGTCCGGGAACCAGGGGTTTTCAAATTATGCTTTTTGCCCAGGGCTGGATGTAGGATGTCTGGGGGAGAGGCTTGACTGAGATCTGGGTACACTGAGCCTCCACTTTAGGAGGTAACCTAGAGACTACACCTACTCCCTAAACTGTATTGACTTTTGGAAGTCAACCATTTAGAAGAGTGTGGTTTTGGTTTCGATCGTATCCCAGCAGTCTTTTCTCTGCCCTTGTTAATCTGATTCATGATCTGAACCTGGGCTGGCTGGAGGCTGGCCATGTCACTTTGCAGACCATGGACACCCCTGAGTGCCCTCACAGAACCAGCCAATGGAAAAGTACAACGTCTTCTGGCTTCTCAGCCTTGCCATCTCCCTCTGGCCTATTTGATACCCCCTTTTATATTGAGGGAGTGAAAATGTAGCATCCAAACTGAAAACGCAGGTTTTTCTTTGGTTTTTATAGGAAAAACAAATTGGCATGAACACTCAGTCAAACCAGCTCAGGCTGTTTGGGCAGATGCCTTTCTTTGCTTTTTTCTGTTTATTTTCCTACAAATCAATGCTTAACTGCGTTGTTATCGGAGCAGAGCAACAGGTGCAAAAAAATAACTCTGCTGCCAACTCAAATGAAAAGGTAGGGCTTATACCCTCTGGGAGGTATTCAGAAGATAACAGAAGCCCCTGCCAGCAACTGAATTAACAGCTCTGTTTACGGTGGGTTTTATGTTAACAACCTGCTCCTGACCCTCCTACACATAAACACACCATTGTCTCAGAGAGAGACATTCAGCCATCCAGACAACCCACTGCTTTATTCTGCCCTGAGTGGAGATTGGTTTTGGCTCAGGCTGCTTTGTGAAACTCAGAAGCATTATCCTCTCTGCCAACTCCACGTCCTAGTCAGAGTTTTCTGTGAAGGCAAGGGCATGGGGTTGCCGGAGAGAAGAGGATTGGTCCTGCTTTTAAGCCTAGCTGAAATTCTTTTCAAGGTTGGTCATTCTCAAATGCCAGAGAGGGTTGCCCGGCTCTCTCTGCTCTTGCCCCATTCCATTCACAACAGGAGGTGGGGAATGAGCTCAGATGACTTTGGAAGGAGCCACTATTATTTTGGAAGCCGTGTCCTTGTGAATAGTCCATCAGGGTAGGGCAGCGTCTATGTTTTGTTAACTATTGTATCGCCAGCACCTAGCAAAGTGCCCAGCATCTAGTAGACACTTGGTAAATATGTATGAATTACAGAGGGTCTGAGACAATATTGTAATGGCCGGATAAGCATTTCTTGGTAATAGTTTCTTTCTGCTGAAAGCTGAGAGACTAATTGTCTTCTGTATGAGGGCTTAAGTCCAGGGTAATTAAGTAATCTTTTGAAGGACTGAGATGGAGGTGGGATGGGGTTAGGGTGGCTTGGCCAGCCTTGAGATGCTCCTGATGCAAGTAACCATCAGAGAGATCCTCTGCAAGCGCTATATTCTGGGGCCAGATTTGTCTGTTCGGACTTCAGAACTCATACTTTTGAGTATCCAATTATTGTTGAATTTGACCATTTGGTATTAATAGAACTAAGCAATTCCCTCAAGTTGGCAAATAATATAATAGTAGGTTATCTGCAGATGGATTAGAGGTTGAATTCTCTACATTGAATCTTTTGTCTCTAACTTTATAAGGACTTGCTTGCATTTATGGACATTTCTTTCAAGGCTGGTATCTCCTGGAGTTGATCATCTTGTGGTGGGAAAGGGAAGGGAGGCAAGTGGGTAAGTCTATATAGACCAGAAAATCTCAATGGCGAGAGTGTTCAAGACTTCGTTAAGGGAGGTTCTCAGAAATGCAGATTTTAGTTTAGAGATCTGGGGTTTCAGTAGCCAAACATTGTTGACTCTAACAACATGGGGGTACTGAGCATTAGGACCTATTTTATTTCAAGTTGGCAAATAATACAGTGATAGGTTGTCCACAGAGGCCCACAGAAAACAAGCAAAACCAGGAGGATGTAAATGTTTGGAAGAAGAGGAGAGTCAAAGTTTCTTTTGAGGCCTCAAAAGCCTCTGTGATGTTTTACAATCTGAAGCTTGCCCTATTCTTAATCATATCTGATGGGTTTGATAAAGGCCCTGGGGGTCATCTTAGGCAAGCTTGTCTTTTGATCAACTTGAGTGCCTGCCACTGTCAGTATGTGCTGCCTAGCCTGGGTCTGACACCAAGACTGATAAAGATCAGCATACTATGTATATTTCCAAATGGCTTACAGTCAATAAAGTGTACCTATAATGGATCCAGACTTGGCCTCCCAGTGCTGCATTATTGGTCATGAAAACCCTTGAAACCCCAGCAATAATACCTCAGATGTTGCCCCTGGGAACGTGAAAAATGTCTGTTTCAAAACACATTATAAGGCTATGAAATTATCTGTGATGTAATCCCAAGAGAATCAAATACATTCCCCAAGCTTGATTCACAATTCAATTCATTTGTAAAAACACAAATGATTGTATGTATTATATTCAGTTGCCTTTCACATGTACATGGATTTTTTTTTCTCTTATTTGGGAGTAGTCCTTTGAAACGACAGTCATATTGAAACAGGAAGTCAGTAAGCTGTTGCAACATCCTTAGGGCAAATGCTGTGAATTCACCTGCTGGTAACTTTGATTAAGGACTGAGAATGGTGTGGGTATCGCTGTCATCACAAAAGTAATTATTTAAAAGGACTAATTGCTCCTTTGGCTTCAGAGGTAAAAATGCCCACATGGCAGCCAGTTCTGTGGCAGTTTGGGGATAATGTGGTTGGATGAATAAGGGAGCTAGGAAGAAGGCTGATGGTGGCCTTGACTCTCAATCCCCTGGGGCTGGGGACAGGGAATGCAGGTGCAAGCCCTGGTTAAGATCTGCTCCGTGGCCCTGGTGGTTCCCAGTGTACCTTCACCCTTGCAGCAGGAGCAAACCATGCTGTCTGGCCTGAGGTCTGATTCAGGTAAAGCATAAACAATTATGGACCAGTCGATTTCCCAAATACAAAATTAAAATAACTTTATTGAGTCATAGGGGGATAATTTACATTATATATGCACGTATGTATTTATGCATGCATATGAATATATATACATATATTTGTATATAAGCTTGATAAAGGTGTAAGGCAGCAGACGGCACAGGGAGAATGCTGTGACCATGTCTAGAATGGGAGTCAAAGTGAGAATGAGTCTTCTCTGGCAAAGCACCCTCTTCTCAGCAGAGAGTGGCCCAGTTCCCAGGTTTTATTGCAAGACAATCTGAGTTTGAATTCTCTTCCAGTTCCAATTCTTTCTAAACTGTGTGACCTTGAACAAGTCACCTAACTCCTCTGTGCCTCAGAGAGGCCATCTGTTAAATGACATAATGCCTCCTAGAGTTGTTGTGAGCATTGATTGAGATAATCTGTTTAAACCAGCAGTGCAGAGCTGGTACATTTTAAGTGTTCAGTAAGTCCTAATTACTATAATATAGTTATTATTATTATTTTTAAAGTGTTTAATCCTGAGTCTCAGTAGCCCCATCACTGAGCAAAAGAAAGACCTCCCTCCAGCTGAGCAGGCCCAAGCTGGCCTGCGTTGGTCTCTTCTGGAAGGTTCGCTCTGTATATTTAAGAAGGGAGGCCAGTGGAGCAGTCCTTGGGCTTGTTAGGAATCCCGAGGCTGAGCAGAGCCTCCTGGGTCTTGGGATGTGTGGTTCCAGTTCCCTGCCAGTGGCCCAGGGTTTTTTCTTGCTTTTCTGTCCCTATTAGCCCTAGCCCCAATCCGAAACCTTATTCTTTTTTTTTTTTTTTTTTGAGATGGAGTTTCACTCTTTTTGCCCAGGCTGGAGTACAATGGTGCGATCTCAGCTCACTGCAACCTCTACCTCCCGGGTTCAAGTGATTCTCCTGCCTCAGCCTCCCAAGTAGCAAACCTTATTCTTTGCAGTATTTGAGCATTCTCTGTGCTAAGGGACTCAGAGGAAAGAGAAACCTTTAGCCGTTCTCTATCAGGAGCTTGCGTTTTAGACATGCTGCTCTTCCTGGTCTTTTTTTTTTTTTTTTTTGCACCTCCAAACCAGCTATGGTATGTGGGAGTGCAAAGCCTTTGACAACACAGAGCTTAGGAGCATATGCCTTACCACTGTTCTTGGCAGCCTTGGCAATGTGTCTAGTGAGAGGAAGAGGGACAGGAGGGATGGCTTTCGTCCTTTGGGTAAGAACTGTGCCCAGCCAGAGGGGAACATCATGGCTTCTGCAAGCAGAGTCCAAGCCCCGCTGTTTATAGTTCAGCCATAATGGTACGTCTACACAGCAGCTCTCGGAATAGGGAGTGGGGAGGCATGAGATCTAGTCCTAGGCTCCACTGTGCCAGTCAGCCAGAACTGGAGAAGACTGTACAGATAAGAGAGCTTTGAAGCTTTGCTCGAAATGAACTTGGCTCTCAATTTCCTCCTTGAGAGTTCAATAAAATAAAAACTACAAGTATGATTATGATTATTATAAAAACCAGCAAACATTTATCAAATACTTACTATGTGTCATGCTTTTCCAAGCATTTTACAGGTATCATTTCATTGTTGTCTTTCGACAACACTTTTCATGTCATCTCTACTTTATAGATGAGGAAACTGAGGTCCTGAGAAGTTAAATAACTTGTCCAAACTTGCCCCATTAGGAAATTGGCAAAGCCAGGATTTGATCTGTGGCCATGTAACTCCAGAGCCTGGGGCTCCCAACCATGATCCTGCTTCTGAGGAGTCTACTCCTACCACAAGGATGTCCCCAGTGCCAGCCAACACAGTTTAAACAGAGACTCATGGGCAGACCCTCTAATAAGCATAGACATTGACTAGACACTTGCTACATATGAGACGTTATGCTGGGGACTTTACAAATAATCTCATTTAGTCCTCATATTAGCTCCACCTTCCAAAGTGGAATTTTGTTATGTGGGGAGACTGAGGTGGTAGAGAGGATAGAAATTCTCCAAGGTCAACATAGCCCACCAAGCCACAGTACCAAGATTTCAACCCTGGCCGTTTGAATCATGAGCCCTTATTCTTTTAAGAGCTTCCCTCAAGACATGTGGCACCACGGCCGGGCCCGGTGGCTCACGCCTGTAATCCCAGCACTTTGGGAGGCCAAGGCAGGCAGATCACCTGAGGTCAGGAGTTCGAGACCAGCCTCAACATGGAGAAACCCAGTCTCTACTAAAAATACAAAATTAGCCGGGCGTGGTGGTGCATGCCTATAATCCCAGCTACTTGGGAGGCTGAGGCAGGAGAATTGCTTGAACCTGGGAGGTGGAGGTTGTGGTGAGCCGAGATTGCGCCATTGCACTCCATTCTGGGCAACAAGAGCGAAACTTCATCTCAAAAAAAAAAAAAAAAAAAAAGACATGCGGCACTACTAGGCTGCTTTTCAAGCTCCTCACACTCTTGAATGTGTCCTCTCAACTCAGCTTTTAGTGGGATTCAGTCTCTGTGGCTAGGCTTTACCTTCTGCTATGCCCATATTTGCCACCGACCAGCAGCCAAAATAGGAGACTCTTAAACTTTAGGGTTAGACCAAGTGCTCTGTTCCCCCTGCTCCCCTTCATGGGTCCAGGCTGTGCATGGTGGTCAGGGTGGTGCTTTTCTGGAAGCAAGCCCTTGGCGAAGCAAGCCTGGAGAAGCAGGCGCATGGGGCTGGGATGTGTCTCTGTGTGGCTGGCACAGAAGCAGTCCAAGTGCTTGGCAACTCAGGGCACTGCGGGAGTTTGTGTGTACCTGAAACTGCCCTTAAAAGAAGTGAGATGCGGAGGCTGGCCTATCTCCCGCCATGTCTCAGGCTGGTCATTTAGCACAGAACAGTGCTTTCTTGCTGCAAAAAGAATTTCAGATTGGCCAAGCCCCAGTGGCCCATAATTTTAGGGGAGCTTATGGCACATTGTAGGGGACTTGCTGCCTAAGGCTAAATAGGTCTTGGCAAGAAGCCTGGCATGTTGTACTTGCCAGTTCTTCAGTCTATTGGGTAGCACACAGGGCTCCTTCTCTTCAAATAAAGAGTACGATTCTGCCCCACAACTGTGAGTCTTACAAACTTCTGCCCAAAGAGGTGAAGTTTGGGAAAAATGTCAACCTCTGGACAATCAGTAGTGTCTCAAAATCAAATACACTTCCCTCCAATTGTTCCTACCTATGAAAAAGGATAGGGAAATATATATGAAAAAAATCTCAGGATAATCTACATTTCATTTCACTCCTTTTTTTTTTTTTCCTTTTTGAGTCAGAGTCTCGCTCTGTTGCCCAGGCTGGAGTACAGTGGCTCGAGCTCGGCTCGCTGCAACCTCTGACTCCTGGGTTCAAGCGATTCTCCTGCCTCAACCTCCCGAGTAGCTGGGATTACAGGCATGCACCACCACACCCAGCTAATTTTTGTATTTTTAGTAGAGACAGGGTTTCACCATGTTGGCCAGGCTGGTCTCGAACTCCTGACCTCAAGTCATCCACCCGCCTCGGCCTCCCAAAGTGCTGGGATTACAGGCGTGAGCCATCGCACCCGGTCACACTTCACTCTTTGAGTTTGAAATAAGAGGTATAGTTTTTCTTTGTGTGTGCAGTTTGTAATAGCTCAGGTAATAATTTATACAATCTCCCCAGAATACATACCACCTGGGAACAGACAAAGGTGGCTCTGATACCCAGTGTATTCTCTTAAACCTTCACAGATCAGGCAATTACTCTATAGGTACCAGGCACTCTGCTGTGGGCTTTGAGGTGCCTTGTCTCATTTAACCCTCCAGCAAGCCTATGCCTATTCTCCGGGAGAGGAAATGGCACCCAGGAAGGCTAAGGGACAGCCTAAGTTTGTCACGTCAGTAAGAGCAAAGCCTGAGCTGTCTGCCTCCACAAGCTTTTAACCAGTATTCTCCACTGGGGGTGGTTTTTGCCTCAGGGACATGGTGTGTGTGGAGGGGGTGCTGCTGGCATCTAGAGGGTAGGGGCCAGGGGTGCTGCTACACATCTTACAATCCACAGGCCAGCCCCCACAGAAGGGATTGTCCACATTTCAGTGGTGGAGAGGTTGAGAAACTCTGCTTTTAACCACTACCTAGGGTGGCTGAGGATTCCTCCTCTGCCTCCCCATCCGAGGTTCCTGCCTCCAGCAGAAGATGGGGAGAAGTGAGTTCTTTTCCCAGCTTGCTTTTGACTCCCAGGGTGGAGTCATTCTCACTTAGGCTCTGAACTGGGGATTCAGTCCTGGAAGAAATAAAATGTGTTAGAGGAACACCTTGAGAATTAATGTTTAAAGAAGGGAAAGGAAACTGATTTTGATGGGGGACATGTTTGCCAGGGGCTAGACAAGACACCTTTAGACCCATTATAATTATTTATCTTTCAAAACAGCCCTTAGGCTTAGGAGAAACAAATACTCCCCCGCAACCCCCTCCAGCTCTCCCATTTCTAAACCAGTGCGAGAAATGGAGGCTCAGAAAGGTTAACGTGCTCAAGGTCACATGGCTGAAAGATGGGACCTAGAGTCTAACCCAGGAATCTCAGATTCTGAAGTCTCTACTTCCACACATTTGATGGTATTTTTTTTTTAAGGAAAATAATGAAAGCTATGCTGAAAGCAAAGTAGGGAGCTGAAATAAGAGCATTCAATAATTCCCCTACTTTCTAATTAAAAGGATTGCTTTTTATACCCCAGAAAGCAATTACTATATACTACAGAAAGTCTACATTAGCATATGGGAGTATGGGTGAGTTCGTTATAATAAGGTTTTTTTACAATTCTCAAGTCACATTTGTTATCCACGATCTCATTCCATCTCAACAGTCCTGTGAGGCTGTTGGGGCAAGTGTCTTCACTCTACGCCTGAAAAACTATGCCTCAGAGGAGGGTAGGACTCGGCCAAAGCCCTTCTGCTACACTGGCCCTGGGCCTCATGTGCCCACCCTGAGGACATCTTTCCCTGCAGCTCCCTGCCCAGTTGGAAATGCTGACCTTCTTTGCTTACAAGCCCAGGTGAGCTCAAGCGAACTCTGACTCACTAAGGGTTAAGCCACACAAACTCTTTTATGAGTGGAAACCACTTAATGTGCCCTGTAAAAAAGGGCCCCTCACCATGCTGGCTGCTTTCCCTTGGAAAGGGAGTGCCAGCAGGGAGCAGGGCTATGCACAGGCCATCTTTTTGCAGGAGGATGGTGATGGGGCAGCTGCCACCCTGTAGTCTTAAAGGCATCTCTGGGGGTTGGGAGAAGTTCTGGATGTTTCCAGAAGGTCATGGTGGAAAATGACGTCGGCCCTGAGGAGAGGGGCTTGTGGGCATTTGGCCACAGGTGGAGAACTGGCCCATATTGTTCTGCAACATTTATTAAATTCTTTTTTTTTTTTTCACTACTTGCCAAGCTCTCTATGTGCATGACCTCATTTGATTCTTACAGCCCTTTGAGTTTGGTGTTGTTCCCATTTATCAGGTACAGAAAGTGAGGAACAGAATGTTTGCGGCTAGACAGATTTGGCACTGGTTCAGGGTCACCCACAGTAAGCAGGGGAACTGGAATCTGAGCCTGCATCTCTCCAGCTCCAAAGCCTGGGTGCACAGCCTCCACGCCACCCTGCTTTCTGCTTGTCAGGAAGCATAGCTGGCCCAGGCAGGTGCTGCCACTGAAATGACCACTTTGAAACAACCCTGCAGGCAAATCCTTGTGAAAGAATTTGAGAGAAGCCTTTCCCTGCCTGTCCTCCCTAAGCCTGGAAGGCCAATCCCTCCATGCAAATGGGCTGGGCTCTGAGCTTCAGCCCTTTCAGGGTTAAACAGTAACCTTTCCACTGCTTGTGGTTGAGCAAATGCTAGCAAGGAACAAGCCCAGCCTTGAGCAAACAAGACACTGGGCCCTGGGCCCCCCTCCTTCCACCAGCCACCCGGTCTGGGGACTTAGAGATTTTCTTTCGTCTTGAAGTTCCCAATCTGATTTCTTAGCTTTAGGGCAATTGCTCTACAAAGTTGGATGGGAAAATACCCAGTTATTATGAAAAAGGAAAGAAGGTTTGACTTGAGGTTGTTTTCTTTCTCTGAGGGTGAGAATCAAAGAGCTTTTCAGAAAAGGAACTTATGATCAGTATAGTCACCATCTGTAAATTTTCAAGTGGGGAAACTGAGGCCCAGCATCATTTCTGGTTCAGGCTATCCACAGAGCTAGTGACGCTCCTCATGATAACACCTGACGTGTATTCGTGCCCTACTTTGTGCCAGGTGCTCGAGGTACAGAAACTCATTTAATCTCCAATCAATGTACAGACGAGGTATGATTAGCTGCATTTTGCATATGAGAAAACTGGGGTTCAGAGAGGTTAGGTAACTTGTCTGGGTGAGTACTAACCTTAGCTAGTAAGTAGGAAGGCTTGGAATCGACCCCAGCTCTTCTGGCTTCAAAGCTCCTATACATGGTGCCAGGACATATAATCCAGTCCTCCTATCTTCCCACCCAGTGGCTCTTTGCTGTTATAATGTCCATCATCCCTACCCTGTCTTTCCTTCTCCACCTTCTACTTAGGCTGGATTCAGTCCTAATTATTTACCAAGCAACAGTGATGATGAAGCTAATAATCATCATACATGTTTGTGTGTAGCCTAGTTCAACCTTTAATTACTGCTCTCTCCCCAGCACCTAGAATAGTGCCCAGCCCATTATTGGGCTGATAAATATTTGTTGAATAAATGAATACATGAATATATTCGTATGCCTTTTGCAGACCCCTCTTCTCCCCCAATAGGCCTTACTCAGAACAAGAGGAGCCGTAGCTAAATTAGGGGAAGGAATGCCAAGGGCTGAAAATCCTCTGGGTTGGCAATTGTAATCCTGTGGACATTGGTAATACCCGAGGATGCAAAATTTCCCCAAAACAAGCAGAAAATTTTCCATGAATTGCTGCTATAAAGCTGAATTCCTCTCCCCACCCCAACATTTTATAAAGAGCAAGTGACTTTTACAGCCTCTGGGTATTGCCCAATAGCGATCTGGAAACAGGCTGCTCTTCGTTTAAATGACTGAACACACGGTTGGGGATCTGTTCTGAAAGGTGGAGGGTGCCCGCTTGGGAATAGGGACATTATAAATACTGGACAATTGAAGACAATATTTCTGAAGTGTAAAATGTTTGCATTGTTATAAAATAAACCCAAACAGGCCCATGGAAGAAATCTCTTCTCCCAAGTCCTTTACTGAAAAAATGATCCCACAGACTGAGAAAGCCACTTTGACTTAGGTCAGCTTGGAAACCCACTAAATTCTCCAGGTCTCTAACAGGAGAAAAAAAACTGGTTATAATTGTTACCAGAAAGGAAAAATTTTTTTCTTTACCAGAAATGGGCAGTGTCTGTCAGAGAAACCAACTGATTCCTGATATTATCACAAAGCCAGATACTTGAAGAGCTCTATTAAAATATGACTGAGGCCCTTTGATGACCAGCCCAGCCTGTGGCAGATACCCGCACTGAGGAAACTTGTTACTGGGTGTGCAGGTGCGATTGCAGTCCGAGCTCCCACACAGGTGCTGGGGCTGTGCTGCCACCAGCTTGGATTTTCATTGTTTGAAATTGCACTTTAAATACTTTAAATAAAATCTCCTTGGCATTTTCACTTTTGTAAAAAAAAAAGAAAAAAAAAAACTGCTTGGATGCCAGCCAGCCTCGCCCTGGGAGCAGGTATTGCATTTTCCTCCCGCTTCATTCCTGATCAGAGATTATTCATTTATGAATGGGTGGCTGTAAAAACTTGCCTCATGCATATGAAAATTGAACCTGGAAATTTTTAATTGCTGTGAGTTTTGCTTTTACAAAAAACGCTTTGGCAATGGGTGGCAGGCAATGGGTGGAAGGACAAATTCTCTTTATTTTCTTCCTAAATTTACTCTGTGATCTGCACTTTCCAATGACATTTGTCCAAGAGGCACTGACTGAACAGGCTGTTTGATCCCCTAACAGATCATGATTCTGGAAGGAGGTGGTGTAATGAATCTCAACCCCGGCAACAACCTCCTTCACCAGCCGCCAGCCTGGACAGACAGCTACTCCACGTGCAATGGTAAGAGGGCCTGTGGGTGTTGGTGTCACTGCTGTGCTGTGTGGGCTCTTTGCTTTAATTCCTCTCACAACCTAATGTTTGAAAAATATAGGCTTTACAGCAGAAGATGTGGGACAAGAAGGAATGGAGAAAACTCAGTTTTGGAGTTCCCTACCAGCCCCCAGCGTTCCAGACAAAAGCTCGTTTGAGATATTCTATTGCCTCCTCCCAAAATTCAAGGTTCCAGATTGACAGCCTGGCAGTGAAGGGGGGTAGAAGAGATGCCTAAAGGAAAGACTCTCTGTTGGAGCTTTTAATAGTGTTTTGCTGGGATATCAAGATAGGCTAGGAGAGAAAGGGTATGTGTGTGTGTGTGTGTGTGTGTGTGTGTATGTGCGCGTGCATGGAGGTTAGGAAGGAGAGGGTTATAGCAGTTCAATCTTTCTTTTTTCGTCTTCCAGTGGCCTCTCTTTGCAAGGGGAGAGGAGATTTGTAAGGAGAACAGGTGTTCTCCCTAGAGCTTTAATCTAGAACACGTCTATTAGAAGAAGAGGGGACCTGGTGGTGGGGCGTATAGAGGGTTTGGTGATCAAGCCTGTGGCTTCCTGAATCAAGTTGAATCCCTGAATCAAGTTGAATCTCTGAATCAAGTTGTTGCTGAATCGGGAACCCCATACCCCAATTTAGAGCTCTCCAGTTTAGGCATTCAGCTGTGCATCCAACAGCAGTGAGTTTAGGGAGCTCTGGGCCTCTTCTCAATCCACACCCACTGCTAATCTGCCTGCCAGAGGCTCTGCTGTTCAAGTTTGCTTTGAAATATGGAGATGGTTTGTTGGTGACCAGAGCTTGGGAGGAGGCAGAAGTGGGAGGATAATGGGAGAGTTATTCTGCAGCGAGTGCTAATCCATGTGGAGCTCCACCTCTTTTAATTTGGAATCCTAGTCAAACATGGTTGAAAGGGTGAGCAGGTGAGCTTCCCTTACTCGGTCACCTGTCCCCCCAAACTGCTGCACTTTCTGGGCAGTTGCATTTTCTGTTGTGGGCCTCAAATACCCTGTGAGGACCCAGAAAGTGGATTCCAAATAAAACTGGAAGTCTTTGGCATCCCCAGGACCCTGGCCTCTCGATGAAGGCAGCATTTCTCCTGCTTGCTCTGGAGAAAGCTGGGGAAATGTGTTCAGCAGGAAGTAGAACTGGGGTGCCACTTTTATTTCTTAAATTCCAGAGACCTCAAAGAAAGCTCAGCCTTGATTGAGACTGAAGAGGAAAAGGAGATCAGTTGAATGGCAGAGAGGATGTGAACTCATAGGAATTTTTATTGTTTCTCCTGAAACTTCAGGAATTTGGTGGGTTCTCTGTCTGATGCGGAATCTCCCCAGTCAGCTTCAGACAAAAATCCCTGATTCTCCCAAGTTTGAACAAGATACACTAGCAGGGACTATCTTTTAATCTAGACCGTATCAAGTTTGCAGATGAGATTATTCTAGATGTGCTGTTAGGTTATTAAAAGTTGGTGCCTCTTGTTGTCAAAACCAGAGCTGTACTGTCATAGCAACACAATTATTTTAGAAAAAGAAAGATGAAAGACTTGGGGAGCCACAAAATATATATCCCATCCTTAAACAGCTTTATTTGTGAGGCACCAAAAATTGGGGGAAATGGAAAGATCCAGCCCAAGGTCTGTGTATTTGGGACTATTTCCATATAATTAGATTTTTAGATTAGATTGTTCCATTCCTCCCCCAACCCCTGACTATTGGCTTCCTCTTTAGAGCCCACGTTGTGGGCCAGGGGCTGCTTTTGTTTCGCCATGAGGTACGAGGAGCTAAGTGCATACTGTGAGTGGTGGGTATTACTAACGGCAGTCACCTCTGTGTGCTAGATAAACTTGACCTCCTGCTCTTAGTGCTTCTGAGGTCTGGAAGCCATGGATGGATTCTGAATGAATGAGGAAGAAGAGGGATTGGGTCAGAAACATTTCCCTTTCAGTCTCTCCTCTGAGGGTGTTGTGGGCTGGACCATGGGCATTATGGGAGTTAAACCTTTCTGAGGCCTTTAGCTACTTGTAATTCGATAGACCAGCAACATCAGCATCACATGGAAGCTTGCTAGGAATGCAGAAACTCAGGCCTTGCCCCAGACCTGTTGAATCAGAATCGGCATTTGAACAGTATTCCCTGGTGATTCACGATCACGTTTGAGAAGAACTGATCTGGCGTGACCTTGAAGAAAAAGTTAGAGACAGTTTTCTTGCACTACATTTTCTTCTACTGGTCCACCCTTGAATTTGTTGGAATATCCATGTGTCACGTTCTGTTGGATTTCCCCTGCTTCAGCTTGGTGGGATGCAATAGTCTTTGCCCCTTGCCCCTTTCACTCATCTTTCCTGAAAGAGAGTTCCTTCCCAACATCTATTTCCAAGGGAACTGTAAGCTCTCTCAGCCCTGTTACATGCCCTCAGATGCTGGTTTGTCTTTTCCATTGCCGCAGAACTTCGGGCAGACTATGGAATGTTTTTTTAAGTGAGCATGAGTCACATATACAGATGGTTAGCACATATTAGGTTCAGCAATATTTATCCAGTTTAATGAACTGCACTTCTTCATTGGCATCTGAATGTACCATCTTGTGAATGTACCATCTTTTAAACGTACCTCCCAACTCCTCAGATGCCTACCTTATTTCTTCTTCAAAAATACATTCCATTAAATAAATATATGGTGAGCATCTACTATGACAAAGTCTCTGAGGTCATTTTTTAGGTGATACAAAGACAAGTAAAACAGTCTGTGACCTCAAGCATACAATTTACAAAGGAGAATAAGACGGCACTTAGAGACCTGTACAGAAAAGCAGAACATGACAAAGCCATTAGAAATACCAAGCATGTCTCCTGGAGGGTAAGAGGACAGTGAGCCCTTGAAGCAAGTTGGGGGGATTGGGAATGATTTTACAGGATGGTCAGAGTTCGAAAGATGGGTAGGAATTCAACAGGAGTGAGAGGTAGAACACAAGCTTAGCTGAAAGAACAGCATAGAGAAAAGACAAGTTATTGGTTACTTGAAGAAGAGTTAGTGAAGAGCCTCAATGCCTAGCTAGGCAGCTTTATACCTAATTTCAGTGGGTGATGAGGACTACTAAAGGTAACTGAGTAGGGAAGTGACATCATGATAGCTATAATGACTAGGCTGGGGCAGTGGGATATCAGTCCAGTTAGTAGATCAATAATCTGGACCACTTTGAGGAAAAGCAAAGGCATCGTAGAGAAAAGAACCTTAATTTCAGGCCTTATTTTTAGTTGAAAATGGTCTGAGTTTGGTGGTGTGTGTGTGTGTGTGTGTGTGTGTGTGTGTGTGTGTGTATGTATAAGAGAGAAAAAATGAGAGAGAGTGAGTGAGAGAGAAGAGGAAGAGAACGATTTGGGTATGGACAATAAGCTAATAAATTGCTGAAATGATAGCAATGCTCTAGCTTTCATGATATTTTACTTTGGGGGAGGTGGGGGATGAGCTCTGAGCACTTCAGCTCTCTTGTCCTCATCCAGTGTCCAGGGGTAGGTAGCAGGCTAGGGAGGACATGAAAATGCACTTCTGCTCCATCACCCATGCTGGCACATACACGGACTGTGGTTGTGTCTCTGAGATATCTGGCAGCCAACAGTACATCCCTGTGTCAGATACTATGGCCAGGAACAGCCAGGGGTCACTCATGAGGCTGCTTCCTGTTTTGCAGTTTCCAGTGGGTTTTTTGGAGGCCAGTGGCATGAAATTCATCCTCAGTACTGGACCAAGTACCAGGTGTGGGAGTGGCTCCAGCACCTCCTGGACACCAACCAGCTGGATGCCAATTGTATCCCTTTCCAAGAGTTCGACATCAACGGCGAGCACCTCTGCAGCATGAGTTTGCAGGAGTTCACCCGGGCGGCAGGGACGGCGGGGCAGCTCCTCTACAGCAACTTGCAGCATCTGAAGTGGAACGGTGACTCTCTCTTTCTGTGTCTCTCCCTACCCTGCTAGGAGCCAGCTGGAAGAATAGAGATTCTGCAGATGACAGGATTCTTTGTCAGGGACAAGAAAGAGTGGTCTCACCTCCAAATTACCATGTCCCAAGACAGAGAAATGGAAGGAAGATGAAAGGACAGGATTGAAGCATAGGGTACCTGGTGTGCCTAATCCCTTATAAATGCCAGTGTAATTTAATTCTTTCCTTATGGTGATAATTTTCAAGAAGACAAAAGCTGGCTAGGAATTCGTAGAATACTTACTATCCTTGGAAAATGTTTTCTTTCCTTTGCAAACAGTCCAGTCACTTGCTTGTTAAAAAGATCATCATGGTTACAAAAAAAAAAACAAAAAACAAAAAACAAAACAAAACAAAACCCCCCCCACACACACACACAAAGAACCTTCTAGACCTAGGTTCTTAAGATAGGGTCCTAAGGGTGGTAAGAAGATATATGAAATTAGAACTATGTTTGTGTTTTGGGAGGGGAAAAAACTCACAATACTTCAGCAGATTCTTAAAAGGTCTGTAACTTAAAAAAAGGGTTAGAACATATGGTCTAGACACGTGTATGGGGAATGTTTCTGTGGTGGTTTCTGGAATTTCTGTTGCCCTAATGCCCCAGATGTCTCTCTGAGGCTTCCCCTAGCACAGGGATGGGCCACCATTCCAGATGTTGTCTTTGAGTGGTAGATTATTCATACACGAACATATCCTATACTGACATGTAAGACCTAGTAGGGTGGACAACTGACCTTGCAGAATGGTTTTGACACTGGCATAAGGTTCCCCTGATAGTGGCTGTAAAAATCTAGCTCTTCTGAGAACTATGGGCATCCTGAAAAGTAGCAATATTTAAGAACAGGGAGTTGGCCTGTCTGCACTGGAAAAGGCATTTATGTCTTGGTAGAACCCATGTTTGGGCAAGTAACCGGGACTTGGGCGGCATGAGCTCCAGGGCTGTGAACCAGAGTCATACCCTGGCAACAGCCATCAACACTGAAGAGGACCTGGGGCCTTGCAGCAGAGCTTGTGGCTGCGGTGGCCATTTTAGATGATGTCATTCAGCTCCCTGGCCATGCCCTGCTTCCCACCCACCTCACATTGGTGGCTGCTCTTTTTTCTTTGACTAGAATCAAACCAAACAAGGCTCTATAAATAACCCTCAGGGATCTTCAAAAAGATCAGACTTACACTTGAAGAATTAAAAATATTTACCTCCACCCCCCAATTAAATCCACTCCTTTAAAGCTTTGCCCTGATTGAGGTCTGAGGCAGGGAGGCCTGGGAGGTGCTGTGGCCATCTTAGACCTTCTGTCTCTGACTTCCCATGACTTGTTTGGTCTCATCGCATGCTGCTGTAGCCTCTGAGTTCCTAATGTCCAGGCAGATTGCTCACTCTTTTGTTGTTTGCCTTTGTGTAGACCTTCTATCAACTAACATTTATTGAGTATTTACTTATACTAGGCACTGTAAGTGAATTAATTCATTTAATAACTTTATGACAAAGTAAATATTGTGCCCATTTTACAGGTGGGAAGACTGAATGTCAGAGAGGTTAAAGGCATGGCTTCTGTTCTTGAGATGTTTAGAATCTGTCTGGGGAAGAAAACAGACTAGATTCATATGCATTTACAAATATATATATATATATATAAGCATACATATATATGCTTTTATATATGATAATGGGAGAGGAGTTGCAAGCAAACAAGGTCATGTGATGTGTACTGCTTGTACATGTGCTGAGGCATAAATAAGGAAAGAGTCACCACATTTTATCCAGACATATCTCACAGATTGGATGTAATCATGATGGCATTGATTAGATTTTAAATCAAAGAAGAATCAAGCTAGTTAAAAAGGTTTTTCCCTACATTTTCATTTTCATATCATATCTTAGTATGGGAAAGCACCTTAGAAGTCATCTAGTGACCTTATCTAGTTTAATCTTGTTACAGATGGGGAAACTGAGACCCAGAAAGGTAAAGTGCACACACCTTCCTCATAGCTAGTAGTTGAAAAACTGGGCTTCTGAAGTTCTATTTCCACCATACTGAATGCCTTTACTATACCACATCAAATAATTGCTTCTAAGGTAGTGCCTTAGATTCCCAATTTTCTGGGGTCAGAGACTGCAGGCTTGAGTTTGTAGAGGCTGACAGAGAAACCACCTCCCATAAACAAACATAGGTGACCAGGCAGTAGGATGGCAGAAGCTCTGCAAAGATGCCAGTTCTGTCCTTATTTAAGCATCCAGTTCTGGCTCCATCTGGGCCCTCTCTGACTATCCCAATCTGTCCTTCACAGGCCAGTGCAGTAGTGACCTGTTCCAGTCCACACACAATGTCATTGTCAAGACTGAACAAACTGGTGAGTAGTAGTGGACAAAGGGAGCCAACCTAGCCTGGCAAAGCTCCGGGGAGGACAGTTGGGAGAGGGCAAGAGAGAATGTGGGGGCAAGTTTTTGCAGGAAACACAGGGAGGCCTTTTCCCTGGCTGTCTCTGATGGGCCACCCCCACCATGAATCTCATTCTTGCCCTTGCGACCAGTGACTGCCACCTATTTCCAATTTATAGACTTATGGGGAGCCACACTTCTCTGCCTCCTACTCCTGGTTGTGGCATCATCCAGACCTCAGGCCAGCAGCCAAGGAAAAGCAGAATATATGGTGGGCCTCCCCACCTTAAAAAGTGTCAGGGGAGTGGCCAAGTTTGGAAAGAGAAGAGGAAGGGGCAATGTCTCCTCTTCTCTCCCTCCTCCCTTGATGGGTGTGTGTTTCACAAAAAGGGTGAATATACTAACTTGGTATTGTAGTTAACAAATTTTTAGGGGCCCTGGGGAGCTTCTGCAGAGATGTACAAAGGTACCTGCAACCCAGCTCCTGCCTTAGGTGTGTTTTTATATGAAGGACAAAATGCTGGGCTCTGAGCAGAGTCTACAGTCCCATAGCATCTACATTCATTTTCGTTTCCTTTCCCCTGTCCTAAATCTCTCTCCTGGAGACTGTCCTCCAAAGTCCATGAGCCATCATAAAACTGTGCAGCAACTATTGCTCCTAAGTCACTCCCCATGTTCATGCCTGGGAGCCTGGGAGCCACGTGGGCCAACCAAGCTTTCCATAGACCTCCCTGAGGATGTGTCCCAGTCACCAAGGACAGAATTTGACCTGCAGGTGATTTGTGAGTCACTTGGGGCCAAAATTGGCCCATGCAGTTATTTACCCTTTCATAAGTGGGCTGGCCTACCATTATTAAAGAAAAAAGCAATAGCTGCTAAGCATGCAAATTAGGCTTTGCTAGCCCTGCCTTTCTCTTCAGAGGCCAGGGGATGGGCCATCTGGATGTTCTGTGCTTTACAGGCCTGGCCTTGCCCTAGAGATGGATGCAGGACTTGGTCAGGAGGATGGCACCCCCTCCCCTGCTTGACCTGTCAGATAGCCCCACCGAAGGAGCCAGGGTAATACTGGAGAGGTCCCAAATAACTTGATAATTCCTTCTTGACCATCCAGACATTCTTGTGTTGCCAGTTCAGAAAAGCTGAGTGGAAGGGTGGAGAAGAAGGTCCACCCTAGGAGGAGGGGAGAAGAAGCTCATAGAGGGGCCAACACCCCCATACCTCTTTGGTTCAGTTTGTTTTCAGAGACAACAACAGGTGTACAAGGTGACCCAACAAGGAGAGAGGGTGTAACCCCAAGAGATTGGGCTTGGGGTGTCCAAACATGTAGCTATTAGCTAAAATACCGGCTAAATCCCTATGTCGTAAACACGAGGACTTAGCCAGTAAGTCAGGTTTTGTATCATTTGTGCTATAAAAACAAAATGAAACTCAGTCAGTGGCTTACACCCCGGCCCTAAAACTCAGAACCCAGCAAGGAGGGGAGCTGAGGGTAACCTAGGTCTGCGGTGAGGAGAAAGCAGGAAGTTTCTGGTGAGGACGAGGTGAGAGATCTTACAGCTTTTGGCTAGCCAAGAAACAAAATGCTTCTGTTGGAGACCAGCCCAGATCTGGGGGTTGCGTAGGAGTTGAGCTCCATTTGGGGTAGGTGGAGGGGAGTTCCCTTTGAATCTGAAATCTGAAGAGTCAGTCAAAGTGAGAGGTGTTTACCGCAGCACACAGAAGAAAGAGAAAGAGAGACAGAGTACAAGAGCACTTCTTTTCTGCGATGGGGCAGTGGGGCTTCACTCTTAAAAGGTGTTTGTTTGATTTAGTAACACAGTCCACCCCTTCTCCTTGGTTTTGTTTTGAGAATTTTATGTCATCCTTTAAGCTAATTGGAAAAATCCTAGAGGGAGGGGGCTGTCACCCAACTTGGATGACAAATCTCTGGATTTCAGCAAGGAAGAAACTGTGATAAGATTGACAAGACTCTTCCTGAAAGAAATATCATTAACCCCCCAAGGCCTCATTAATTATTTATTATACATTTAAATAAATTAATCCCTAACAAGGCCTTCCCCCCCACCACACTCTAGGGTAAAAATATTCTGGTGATTATGCAGTAGAATGCAGAACAAAGCCAAGCCAGGTTAGGAAAATTCCCAGGAACCACTTGGTCTAGGACAGGTTCCCATTCTTGCAACTTCTCTCACTTCCCTAAAAATGCAATAGGTACAGAACACATGGATGAGGCCATTTCCCCGAGGATGCTGAAAGGAAAATTAGACAACATTATTATAAAGTAACGCAGCTGAAGCAGAATCATATCCCTTGTCTCTGAGGACCACTCCTCACCCCCCATACTTTGTTGATGAACAATGAATTAGAAAACGCAGCCTCTTCTCCCTGGGGAAAAGAGATCGCTGACTATTCTCCTTCTCTATTTTTTGTAGAGCCTTCCATCATGAACACCTGGAAAGACGAGAACTATTTATATGACACCAACTATGGTAGCACAGTAGGTAACTAACTCCCTGACACTTAAGGCCCTTTACATTCTTATTCAGTTTGTCTAAGAGCCACAGTGTTCTATTGTGAGGTGGGGGGAGGGGGTGCTCTAAATGTCCTTTATCTTTTCATGGCCACAGATTTGTTGGACAGCAAAACTTTCTGCCGGGCTCAGATCTCCATGACAACCACCAGTCACCTTCCTGTTGGTAAGCTGTCATCACATCTGAGGCTGGGTATGCCTAATGCTTAGGGAGAATCAGTGGGAATTACCAACACTCTACATTTCTGCCTTTCTGGAGTCTTTCTAATTAAAGGGCTAGGAAAGGGATGGGGTTACCATTAGACGAGGTTTGCTTTTGAGGCAATATTTGTACATCGAAGATGACCCGTAGGGATCCTCTAGGCAAAATGTTGGTCTCCTACGAAACTAGTCACTCTGTTGTGACAATAAAAGTTGTTTAGGCTTTTCTTTATTTTCAATGAAAACTTACTCTTGCAATATAGCTGCTAAAATTATTCATATTTGGGTATACTTATGGGAAATAAGGCTATATTTAATTTTCAACAAACTACATTTGGCTTTAGAGAAAGAATACCTCATAGTAAAATTCAAAGGTCCGTGAACCTGTAGTGATAGTTTCTGGGTGAAGGGGTAGCCATTGGAAACTTCCAGAATCCCCACAGTTACACTATTTTGTCAGTTTTTAAGTCTAATTCCGATGACTCATCAGTGCTCTCTAATCAGTCAGAGCACCTGCATTTTATGAGTTACGTTCACTTTAGCTGCATTTGGTTAAGCTTGGATGCAACTGGGGCTATCCATGCTCCTTAACCAAGGTTACACTGGGTGAGAAGTTTGGGATGTTGGGAGTCTGGGAGAGGGGATTTCAGATTACCACCCCCACCTACAAATAGGTGCATTGGCGTGTACAGTGTGGGAAATGGTTGAAAGAGGATCTTATGGTTTCCCGTGATCTGAGTATGAACTTGTGGATCTCTTTGGGTCTATGAAATGGCACTTAGACATCAGTCACAAGTGATAGTGCCTCTCTCCTGGAATTAAATTTGGAGCAACTTCAGAAATGGGATTTAATTGGGTCTTTGTGAAAGAAATTAGTCTGCAACCCTTCCTTCCTCTTTTTTTCTGTTTTTGTTTTTGCTTTTGAGAACTGAAATAATGAAAGGTTTTGGTTTGAGGTTTTGTTTGGGTCAAGCCCCTTAAATGAGATGGGGCTGGGAGCCAATGTAAATGCTTCTGGAATTGAGATTAAGAGCTGAGGCCAGCATAGCTCTCGACTTCTCCTTCCCCCAGTGGTCCTTAGCATTATGTGTCACTTGAGGTATTTGTTAAAATTAGGGAATAGATCAAACACTGGCAAGGCTTGGCTGTGTATTTGCTATTCTGGGGGAACTGAGCCAACCGGGGTAAAATTTCTGTGGCAATCATTGCCACTCAGTCAAGACCATGGGGTTCAGGGCTGAGGAAACCTCCCAAGTCACACTCTGAGTTCCTCTGCGACTTCCTACAGTGTCATCTCCCACATCCTTCCATCCTTCCATCCTTCCATCCTTCCATCCTTCCATCCTTCCATCCTTCCACTTGGGTCTTTGACTTACGGCAAAAAATTCCAACTAAGAATAAAGCTGAACCAACCACTTCCTGAGCCTCAGGGGCTAGTAGGTCTTGAGGCACCCGGGAAACAAAAACATCATAGTTACAGCTCTGCTGCCCTGACAGCTGGGCCATCCTCTTTTCTACATCTTGACTTACACCTTCTAGAATCTCAAAATCAATAGGGGCCTTAGAGGCCAGTTTCTGCTTTTGCATTTGCAGTAGCAAGGAACTCGCTCTCTCCTGAGTCCACCGATTGTATTTTTCAATAGTCCTTCTTAAGATGGGCTCAGGAATCTTCTCTCCTTACCCTTCTGATCCTTGTTTGCTGCAGCTCCCCATTTCTATCCTGTGATTGTAACCCAGGCTGGAAAATGAGATCAATCACCCAGGCCCTAAAGAATCAATGCAGTCTCTGGGGTTGGTGTATTCATTGGGGTAATAGCCCTTCAGTAGGATAGTTAATTACAGCCTTATATGGGTCAGTTTCTTTCAGAATAGTTTATAGTCTCTACTGCATGGAAGCAGAACCCCGGAAAAACCTTGGTCATTTGCCTGAGTCTTTATTTTTCGAGCTCCCATGTAATTGAATGCAGTGAAATATCTTTCTATGTTTTAATGCTAGTTACCAGCTGAGCTAAGGCGAGGCCCAGCGTAAACTGATGCCCTCTGTGATAAACGCAGGTGGGGAAATAGGCTTTGTTTTGATTTCTCTGTCATCTGCCCATTTCATAAAATGCCCGCTGCCGGTGTCCTGTTCTGCTCGACAGTCCTCCAGCCTGTCATGCCAGCTCGGGCTTGATGTGTTTATCCACTGACTTGTTGAGCCTAAAGCTAGGGTGGCACGGTCTATTAGAACACTGAAATTTGTATATCCCGTAAAGAAATGGCTCACAGCTGAATCATATGCAAATGCTTCTAATCTTTGCTTCTTGCGAAGCAGCTTAGCTGAAGTCACGCTCTCTCACTTGCATCACAAACCTGTGGCTTGTTGCTGCCCCTGCCTGGACTGGATAGGACCTTGGCCTGGAGTGCCTGGGAGCCAAGCAAGAGAAAGCCAGGCTGGACAACTTCTCCAGGGCAAGCCATTATTTTATAAGAATGAATCACTTAACCACATGGCTAACTTCAAAGGTCTTGACTTTTATCCTAGGGCAGAAGAAGGACACATATTAAAGAGAGGTTAAAGATCAAAAGATATCAGTGGTAAAGCAGGCCAGTGATTCCACGGCTTACCCCTGCACACTGCAACAGGCAGAGAGGTCTGGAAGAAATTAGGTTCTTCTTTTGCCTTTGACTGCTTATTCCCCTTTATGATGATGGAAAGATTTTTATTTGGGGATTAAAAAAAGAACGTTCCTAGCTGGGTGGAGCCTAGCTTGGGTAAACGGCTGACAACTCAAAGAATATTTCCTCATGGTTTATCTAGTGTAGAGGTTTTAGAGTCCATGGACTGCTGCATGGGCCACAGCCCCCTGAAATTGTTGACAAAATTTCATGTGTACATATATGTGCATTTTTTTCTGAGGAGAGGGTCCAAGGTTTTCGTCTTATTCACAAAGGCACCTGAACTCTGAAGTAACTGATTCTAGATCAACTAGGAACCCACAAACAATAATTGAGGCCAATATACTGAGAGACTCTTGTATTTTTCTGAATTCAACTCCTGGCTCTGAAATAATGGCCCTGCATCCCTCCTGGATGTCATTTGAAAATGAGCTTTGCTTGTGGCCTGCTGGGTAAATGCCACTCTTTGTCTGCAGTACAACGTGGCCCTGTCAGAGTGATGTATCACTTGGAAACCGGGGTGGATGCCAGACCTGTCGCAATATTGTCACATCCTGATGGGATGTTGCAACCTCACCCTGCAACCTACAGGGAGGGAGAGTGAAGTCTCCTTGCATTTCCTGTGAATTTGTCCTCTCGGATTTCAGAGAAACCCAAGTCAGGTGCAGGCCCTGCTAGTGACAATGCCAGGAGAGAAATTCTTAACCAGGATGAGAGGTTTCTTGTTTACTGAGGTCTTATTAAATCCCTCTCTCCATCCTGCCATGACGTTTCGAGAAATTGCTGGGAACACTGAGTCTTGATTAGCTGGGTGATAAGATGGTTGAAAGGGCCCATGAACGTTGGGAAATATAGAATTGTCAGATTGAAATTATCTTTTCTACTAACAAGAGCATTACAGAAGTGAACCTGATTCTTGGCAAGAAAGGCTTGTGTGAAATCTGTTATGTGCAAAGGGAGATTATGTGCCGGCCACCATTTCTGGAAATGACATAGAATCATGGTTATGAGTAAAGCTTCTGGATTCAAACTGTTTGTGTTCATATCCTGGCTCCACATTCCAGCTGTGTGACTCTAGTCAAGTCATTTGACCCCTCTGTTTCTCAGATCCTCCACAGCTGAAAACTGTGGATCATATTAGTACCTGTGTCATAGAGTTATTGTGTGAATTAAATAAAGTGATTCATTTAAAGTGCTTAGTACAGTGCCTGGTACATAGTAAGTGCTCAATAAACAGTAGCTTTTTTTTCTTAACCAATTTAATTAGGAGCTAATGGCTGGCAGTTCATAGCTTTTTTGAATAATAGGCTTCTCCTGATAATTGAATGGATGCTGTGAACCCTCTCCCTTCATATATGGTTTCAGTCAGTCCAGGGGCCCTTGAAGGCCACACTGGGTCAGTGGACCCTAGTTTAGGAAGGGCACATGAAAGAGATCAGTTTTACTGGCCCAATTTCTTAAAATAATTGGCTTGTATTTAGGGACTACTTTGTATTAAAATTGGCTGATTTTTGAGTGTGAGAGTCTTTGTAAGATCTACTTTGGTCCTCCCAATACACACACACACACACACACACACATATACACACACACACTCACACTCACACACACACGGCTAGATCATTTAGTTTTCTTTCTGAGAAGAATTTTTATTTCCCAGGTCCGCCTCCATCATCTCCTCTTTGGTAATAGTCGCAGAGGTTGCCATAATGAGTCATTTGTTAAACTAATCTGTGTTTCCATAGTCCACTGTGGCCCTCTGTATTGAGCTTGGGCCACTCAATGGCGCCTTTGTCAGGCTGATTAAAATGTAACTTTGCATGCCAAAAAAGGGCACTCCTCTGGCTTAAAAGTCATCTTCCTTTGTTATAAATGTTTACATTTTTCTATTATGCTAAAAAAAAAAAACCACAAATTTTTCAATGATCTAAATCTTTCAATGGCTTCCATCTTTCTCAGAGTCATGTCCTTAAAAGTCCCATAAGGGATTAATGATCAGAACCTCAGCTCCTCCCTCTCTGCCTCTTACAGCATGCATATACCAAACACACATCAACCTCAGGGCCTTTGCACTTCTATGTTACACATGGAAGGCTGTTGCACAAGCTCTCTGCATGACCTTTTCCCTCATATCCTTTAGGTCGTGGAATCAGAGAGGTCTCCTATGACCACCTTGTATCAAATTGCAAATTATTCCCAAGTCCATACATCTATCTCCATTTCTTAACCTGCATCATTTTTCTCCATAGCATTTATCATCTCTGTTTTGTTTGGTTCACTAGCACATACTCAAAGGTGCCAGGCATGCAGTAGGTGCTCAGTAAATATTGTTTAAATGAGTGGATGCATGAATAAAAAAGAGAATTATAGGAAATAGGTCAATTAAACGCCTCTCATTTTTCTCCTTAGCAGAGTCACCTGATATGAAAAAGGAGCAAGACCCCCCTGCCAAGTGCCACACCAAAAAGCACAGTAAGTTGGCTGGCTTTCAGATGGCCTTTGGTCCTTCCCATCACATCGGGCACATCTGGAGGCCACTAGTTTTTTGGCAAATATCGCCTCTGTCTGCTGCCTTCATGTCTTCATCCCAAACAGGGTGGAGTGAGAAAATAGAGGCATCACTTGCTAGCAAAGTAAGCCCCCTCTGCAGCTGTTTCTCAAAGTGGAGCCCCACTGGACATTTCCTCCCTGTTCTGTCATATGTGCTCTAAAACTGAGACACCCAGTGCCTAAGAACTGCTTGCAGGCATGGGGTTGGCAATTTCCTCTCTCCCAGAAGAAAAGGGTGGGAAGAGGAGCGAGATAAGAAGAAACAGCTGAGATGTATCATCCTTTCTTTTGCTAAATGTTGGCCTCCTACCTTTGTGGAGTTACCATTCCAAGAAATGACTGTTTTTTCTTAAGATTCAACACTGCTCTTTGGGAGTTGGGTCTCCTTCAGTAATAAAATCTTATGAACATATACGAAATATCAGAGACATGGAATTGTGGGTGGAACACAGAAAGAAATCAAGATGGTATAATCTAGGCCTGTAATCCCACCACTTTGGGAGACTGAGGTGGGTGGATCACTTGAGCTCAGGAGTTCAAGACCAGCTTGGGAAACATGACGAGACCCCATCTCTACAAAAAAATACAAAAATTAGCTGGGCATGGTGGCACGTGCCTGTAGTCCCATCTACTTGGGAGACTGAGGCAGGAGGATTGCTTGAGCCAGGGAGGTCTAGGCTGTGATGAACTGTAATTGCACCACTGTACTCCAGCTTGGGCCACAGAGTGATATCCTGTCTCAGAAAAAAAAAAAAGGTATAATCCAGAAATTATGAGGAATTAGAATGTCTTTATCTGCTCTTTCACATAATCCCACAAAACCATATTAATGCAACCCCTCGAAAGGTGGGTGGGGTGGGGGTGGGGCATCAAAAATTCAGTGGGAGTAAAGTTGAATTTGGTTGATAATCTTATTGCAGTAGTGGCTTCATTTTCAAATTGGGTCCTCCAGTCCCTGCGTGACCACCCCTTTCCCTACCACCCTCATCTATTCTGGGAGTAAACATTCTAGACCCTTACTGATTTGCATTTGGCTGAAACACAGTTGCTGGGTCAAAGCAATTTAATTGGTTGAGATACTGGATAAAAGTGGTTGAGAGTTGCTCTCTGGGGAAGTAACAGGTTGAAGTGAACCCCAAGCAATTTGTGGATAATAACTAGAAGAAACTTCCCCCTGGCTTAGGAGACCTAAGACCTATTGCTTAGTCTTGGCTATGTCACTAGTTAGCTGTGTGATCCTGATCAAGTCACTTAAGTTCTCTGTGCCTCGGTTTCCTGATTTGTAAAATAAAATATTGTGCTAGTTTATTCTTAAATACCTTTTTAATGTCCAACATCTGGTGATTCTGCGATCCATCTTCCCTGACAAGTAGGGGAGAAATGAGTATCTCCTACTTGCAGGAAGATGACCTAACTCAATGCTCTCTGCCCTATCTTTGCTGTGACTTAGATCATTAGTAACCTGCCTTTCTGCTTTTCATCAGACCCGAGAGGGACTCACTTATGGGAATTCATCCGCGACATCCTCTTGAACCCAGACAAGAACCCAGGATTAATAAAATGGGAAGACCGATCTGAGGGCGTCTTCAGGTTCTTGAAATCAGAGGCAGTGGCTCAGCTATGGGGTAAAAAGAAGAACAACAGCAGCATGACCTATGAAAAGCTCAGCCGAGCTATGAGGTGAGGAGTTTCATGTCTCTGAAAACAAAAAGGCTGTACGACCCATTATTTACCTAGCAACCTTCATCGGATCAGTCACCTTATGCAATCTCCTTTGTTACAGATATTACTACAAAAGAGAAATTCTGGAGCGTGTGGATGGACGAAGACTGGTATATAAATTTGGGAAGAATGCCCGAGGATGGAGAGAAAATGAAAACTGAAGCTGCCAATACTTTGGACACAAACCAAAACACACACCAAATAATCAGAAACAAAGAACTCCTGGACGTAAATATTTCAAAGACTACTTTTCTCTGATATTTATGTACCATGAGGGGAACAAGAAACTACTTCTAACGGGAAGAAGAAACACTACGGTCGATTAAAAAAATTATTTTGTTACTTCGAAGTATGTCCTATATGGGGAAAAAACGTACACAGTTTTCTGTGAAATATGATGCTGTATGTGGTTGTGATTTTTTTTCACCTCTATTGTGAATTCTTTTTCACTGCAAGAGTAACAGGATTTGTAGCCTTGTGCTTCTTGCTAAGAGAAAGAAAAACAAAATCAGAGGGCATTAAATGTTTTGTATGTGACATGATTTAGAAAAAGGTGATGCATCCTCCTCACATAAGCATCCATATGGCTTCGTCAAGGGAGGTGAACATTGTTGCTGAGTTAAATTCCAGGGTCTCAGATGGTTAGGACAAAGTGGATGGATGCCGGGAAGTTTAACCTGAGCCTTAGGATCCAATGAGTGGAGAATGGGGACTTCCAAAACCCAAGGTTGGCTATAATCTCTGCATAACCACATGACTTGGAATGCTTAAATCAGCAAGAAGAATAATGGTGGGGTCTTTATACTCATTCAGGAATGGTTTATCTGATGCCAGGGCTGTCTTCCTTTCTCCCCTTTGGATGGTTGGTGAAATACTTTAATTGCCCTGTCTGCTCACTTCTAGCTATTTAAGAGAGAACCCAGCTTGGTTCTTTTTTGCTCCAAGTGCTTAAAAATAAGTTGGAAAAAGGAGACGGTGGTGTGGAAATGGCTGAAGAGTTTGCTCTTGTATCCCTATAGTCCAAGGTTTCTCAATCTGCACAATTGACATTTTTGGCCGGAGTGTTCTTTGTGGTGAGGGCTTTCCTGTGCATTGTAAGATGTTCAGCAGTATCCACTCATGGTCTCTAACCACTTGACACCAGAAACCCCCCAGCTGTGATAACGCAAAATGTCTCTAGACATCACCAAATGTTCCCTGGGGGTGGCAAATTTGCCCTTGATTGAGAACCACCAGTTTAGCTAGTCAATATGAGGATGGTGGTTTATTCTCAGAAGAAAAAGATATGTAAGGTCTTTTAGCTCCTTAGAGTGAAGCAAAAGCAAGACTTCAACCTCAACCTATCTTTATGTTTTAAATGTTAGGGACAATAAGTTGAAATAGCTAGAGGAGCTTCTTTTCAGAACCCCAGATGAGAGCCAATGTCAGATAAAGTAAGCATAGTAATGTAGCAGGAACTACAATAGAAGACATTTTCACTGGAATTACAAAGCAGAATTAAAATTATATTGTAGAAGGAAACACCAAGAAAAGAATTTCCAGGGAAAATCCTCTTTGCAGGTATTAATTCTTATAATTTTTTGTCTTTTGGATTATCTGTTTACTGTCTCATCTGAACTGATCCCAGGTGAACGGTTTATTGCCTAGATTTGTACTCAGAGGAATTTTTTTTGTTTTGTTTTGTCTTTTAAGAAAGGAAAGAAAGGATGAAAAAAATAAACAGAAAACTCAGCTCAGGCACAATTGTCACCAAGGAGTTAAAAGCTTCTTCTTCAATAGAGGAATTGTTCTGGGGGTCCTGGAGACTTACCATTGAGCCATGCAATCTGGGAAGCACAGGAATAAGTAGACACTTTGAAAATGGATTTGAATGTTCTCATCCCTTTTGCAGCTTTTCTTTTTGGCTCTCTCATGTCCTTGGCTTGCTCCTCTATTCTACCTCTCTTTCTCCAGCAATAATATGCAAATGAAGACATGTATCCATAAGAAGGAGTGCTCTTCATCAACTAATAGAGCACCTACCACAGTGTCATACCTGGTAGAGGTGAGCAATTCATATTCAAAGGTTGCAAAGTGTTTGTAATATATTCATGAGGCTGGAAGTAAGAAGAATTAAAAATTTGTCCTAATTACAATGAGAACCATTCTAGGTAGTGATCTTGGAGCACACATGAATAACTTTCTGAAGGTGCAACCAAATCCATTTTTATTTCTGCCTGGCTTGGTCACTTCTGTAAAGGTTTAACTTAGTGTTGTCAAGTAACAGTTACTGAAAGAGCTGAGAAAAAGAACAATGAACAGCAACGATCTTGACTGTGCAACTCAGACATTCCTGCAGAAAAGACATATGTTGCTTTACAAGAAGGCCAAAGAACTATGGGGCCTTCCCAGCATTTGACTGTTCATTGCATAGAATGAATTAAATATCCAGTTACTTGAATGGGTATAACGCATGAATATTTGTGTGTCTGTGTGTGTGTCTGAGTTGTGTGATTTTATTAGGGGCATCTGCCAATTCTCTCACTGTGGTTCCTTCTCTGACTTTGCCTGTTCATCATCTAAGGAGGCTAGATCCTTCGCTGACTTCACCATTCCTCAAACCTGTAAGTTTCTCACTTCTTCCAAATTGGCTTTGGCTCTTTCTGCAACCTTTCCATTCAAGAGCAATCTTTGCTAAGGAGTAAGTGAATGTGAAGAGTACCAACTACAACAATTCTACAGATAATTAGTGGATTGTGTTGTTTGTTGAGAGTGAAGGTTTCTTGGCATCTGGTGCCTGATTAAGGCTTGAGTATTAAGTTCTCAGCATATCTCTCTATTGTCTTGACTTGAGTTTGCTGCATTTTCTATGTGCTGTTCGTGACTTGGAGAACTTAAAGTAATCGAGCTATGCCAACTTGGGGTGGTAACAGAGTACTTCCCACCACAGTGTTGAAAGGGAGAGCAAAGTCTTATGGATAAACCCTCCTTTCTTTTGGGGACACATGGCTCTCACTTGAGAAGCTCACCTGTGCTGAATGTCCACATGGTCACTAAACATGTTATCCTTAAACCCCCCGTATGCCTGAGTTGAAAGGGCTCTCTCTTATTAGGTTTTCATGGGAACATGAGGCAGCAAATCTATTGCTAAGACTTTACCAGGCTCAAATCATCTGAGGCTGATAGATATTTGACTTGGTAAGACTTAAGTAAGGCTCTGGCTCCCAGGGGCATAAGCAACAGTTTCTTGAATGTGCCATCTGAGAAGGGAGACCCAGGTTGTGAGTTTTCCTTTGAACACATTGGTCTTTTCTCAAAGTTCCTGCCTTGCTAGACTGTTAGCTCTTTGAGGACAGGGACTATGTCTTATCAATCACTATTATTTTCCTGTTACCTAGCATGGGACAAGTACACAACACATATTTGTTCAATGAATGAATGAATGTCTTCTAAAAGACTCCTCTGATTGGGAGACCATATCTATAATTGGGATGTGAATCATTTCTTCAGTGGAATAAGAGCACAACGGCACAACCTTCAAGGACATATTATCTACTATGAACATTTTACTGTGAGACTCTTTATTTTGCCTTCTACTTGCGCTGAAATGAAACCAAAACAGGCCGTTGGGTTCCACAAGTCAATATATGTTGGATGAGGATTCTGTTGCCTTATTGGGAACTGTGAGACTTATCTGGTATGAGAAGCCAGTAATAAACCTTTGACCTGTTTTAACCAATGAAGATTATGAATATGTTAATATGATGTAAATTGCTATTTAAGTGTAAAGCAGTTCTAAGTTTTAGTATTTGGGGGATTGGTTTTTATTATTTTTTTCCTTTTTGAAAAATACTGAGGGATCTTTTGATAAAGTTAGTAATGCATGTTAGATTTTAGTTTTGCAAGCATGTTGTTTTTCAAATATATCAAGTATAGAAAAAGGTAAAACAGTTAAGAAGGAAGGCAATTATATTATTCTTCTGTAGTTAAGCAAACACTTGTTGAGTGCCTGCTATGTGCACGGCATGGGCCCATATGTGTGAGGAGCTTGTCTAATTATGTAGGAAGCAATAGATCTCGGTAGTTACGTATTGGGCAGATACTTACTGTATGAATGAAAGAACATCACAGTAATCACAATATCAGAGCTGAATTATCCTCAGTGTAGCTTCTTGGAATTCAGTTTCTGGAACTAGAGATAGAGCATTTATTAAAAAAAACTCCTGTTGAGACTGTGTCTTATGAACCTCTGAAACGTACAAGCCTTCACAAGTTTAACTAAATTGGGATTAATCTTTCTGTAGTTATCTGCATAATTCTTGTTTTTCTTTCCATCTGGCTCCTGGGTTGACAATTTGTGGAAACAACTCTATTGCTACTATTTAAAAAAAATCAGAAATCTTTCCCTTTAAGCTATGTTAAATTCAAACTATTCCTGCTATTCCTGTTTTGTCAAAGAATTATATTTTTCAAAATATGTTTATTTGTTTGATGGGTCCCAGGAAACACTAATAAAAACCACAGAGACCAGCCTGGAAATGCGTGTTTCATTCTTCAATAAGCCATTCAATGCTGGGCTTAGAGAAAATGCACTTAGCCTCTAGCAACAGAACACATACAGCTTCTGCGTTACTTTACTCAAAAAGCATTTATCGAGCATCTACTTCGTGCCAGATATTGTTCTAGGCACCAAATTATAGCAGAGGATGAAAGAGACAAAAATCTCTGCTCTCATAAAATTTATGTTGTATTGAGTAGAAACAGTCAAGAAAAAACACAAATAAATAAATAAAGCATAGCATATTGGATGTGTAGTAAAGAAATATAGAGGAACAGAGACTGCTAGAGCACTTAATACAATAAGGGCATGCTGTAAATTTAGGCAGTGTTAAGAAGGAAACATTTCAGTAAAGAACTGAAGGATCTAAAGGAAGGAGCCACACAGATATACAGATAACTGGGGGAGTGCTCCATACTGAAGTGATGTGAGAGGGTCCTAAGGTGGGTGTGTTCCTTATCATGCCCAGGGAACAGTGAGGAGGTCTGTTTGCCAGAGTAGACCGGCAATAGTTAAGAAATGGTGAAACAGAGGTACTGGTGGGCCAGATCACATAGAGGCCATTACGAAGGCTCTAGTTTTTCCTT
This sequence comes from Homo sapiens, assembly GCF_000001405.40. Classification (NCBI taxonomy): domain Eukaryota; kingdom Metazoa; phylum Chordata; class Mammalia; order Primates; family Hominidae; genus Homo; species Homo sapiens. The sequence continues at coordinate 34,663,895 of NC_000011.10, forward strand.
TGCATGCGTGTGATGGAGATACTAGAGGAGTGACATGATCCAACTTCTGGTTTAAAAGGATTCTTCTGGCTGTTGTTTTGAGAATGGATTGCAGGAAGGCATTCAATGCTGGATATAAAGAAAGGTAGAAAAGATGACCCTTATATCCAGGTCTCTAATACAATACTTAAAAATGTCACCAGGCAGTAAGTGAGCTCCAGTAGTTCATAGCACGTTTCTCCCTGGGTCCAGAAAGCCTCAGCTATTTAGTCACATAATTTCATAAATGATCATGAAATCAATAATAGCTAACTACTCTGGGAAGATTCACTTGTCCCAGGAATTATGATAATGCTATTTACATATATTATTATATTCATTTCTCATATAAGCCTGGATTTATAGATATTATCTCCAATTTTCATATGAGGGAAATGAAGATCAGAAAAGTTAAGTGACTTTCTGAAGGTCACACAGCTGGTAATAAGGGGTAGATCTGGCATTGTTTACACACGTCCCTCTTTCCTCCCTACCATCCCCAACGCAAGTCCATGTTCTACCAGTAATATTTCTCTAGTTTCTCAGGACGCTAATGTTTTACACACACACACACACATGCACACACATAGAGGTTTCTATAGTTAAACAGAGCTAGTTACTGTAAGACTTCTCAGAGTTTTTACTATGATAATGTGCATTGTGAATCTACAAGAGAGGGAAAAAGTGTGCCCACTTCCCTAAGCCTATTTGACGATGGACACCTTTCATCAAAGGAGACCTCATGAAACCAGCACCCCTTAGGACACTCCTAATCTTTAAAAATTACTTCTCAGAAGAGGCAATATTTTTCATGTTTGGGCCGAATAAGTTTTCTGATAATATTTCTGCACATCAAACTTGGCCAGCTTTGAATATATTCCATTTTTTCCTCCTTGAGAAGAAATCCCTCACTTACTGACCTGGGCATTATTTATCTGCGTTGATGCATTTCTCAGTAATCACAAAGACCTTGCAAAGTGACTCTTTGAAAACTATGAACCCTCCTCAATTTTAACTCATTAGAATTATCTACTCAAAACTACAGGCTGTAGCCCCAGGTGACAATTTAAGTTTAAATTACTTACAATTATATAAATTAAAATTTAAGTTTCTAATCACACTGATCCACTTTTCAAGTGCCGAATAGTCGCATATGGCTAATGGTTATTTTATTTGACAGTGGAGTACAGAACATTTCCATCATCAGAGAAAATTCCATAGGACAGTACTGTTCTAAAATCTGACCTGGGAGGGTCGGGTAAGGGTGGAAAGGATAGTGATCAAAGCTAACCAACAGTGAAATAAGATTCCTGGGAGCCTTAGAAACCAAAGGTGACCCTGAATTGTAGAGAACAAAAAATAAAGATCCAAAGCAAATAACTGTGTTTGCTGGAGTGATGACAGTAGCTGCCAGTACAAACAGGTTTGATGTTGTCAGTGGAGCCTTGGTGTGGGAGGATTTGATTATTCTTATCTCCAAACCCCAAAAATACCCTACAGTCATTAATATGAATTTTCCAAGGATGTGGCTTTTTGGTGGATAATATTGGCATTAAGGGAAGATGACCAAAATGGGAAGGGAAATGAAAGGTCCCCAAATAGAAATGGTTGCCACTGCCCACTCCGCTATAAATGGCACTAATACCACTTTCTTCCTTCTTTTCAAGAACGACTTCTTGCATAAGTCATCTGCCCTTAGGCGCTCTTTCCTTATAAATCAATTCTCCTTCATTACTATCATGATCTGGCCTCTGTTCACATCAAGTCACTGACAATGCCCTACTGGAGGTCATAGTCAAACTCATTTCTGCCTCAGGAACTTTCCTATAGCTGTTCCCTATACTGACAACGCACTTTCGATCTTCATGTGGCTGGTTCCTTTTAGTCATGCAGTCTCAGTTCAAAACGTTGCTTTCCTGATTGTACTTGCTTTAGCTGCCCACCTACCTCGCGTTGCTTCCTATTATATTGTCCACATTTAATCTTCACAGAACTTACAGTATCTGAAATTATTTTTTAAAATTCATTAGTTTACCAAGTCCTTATGATTTTGTCTCTGACCAATCAGCATTCCTGGCTCACTGGCTTCCCTCCACCCACCAAGTTATCCTTAAAAACTCTGCTCCCCGAATGTCTGGGGAACCTGATTTGAGTAATAATAAAACTCTGGTCTCCCACCTCCCAAAATTCATTACTTTTATAGTATTTCTTATCCCTGCTAGAACATAAGCTCTTGGAGAGCAGGAGCCAGAAACTTCCATGTTGGCCAATGTGTTCCTAGAGCGACAATGTGCCTGACATGTCCCCCTGACCCCATAAATATTTGTAGAATAAATAAATAAATAAATACATAAATAAATAAAGGACATGCTTATTTTCAAATTCCAAGGCCTTTCTTTTTTTGACTTTATGATTTTTGACACTGGTGACACCCTACCCCCTTTAATTTTGGAAAATAATCTAAGCCCTTGTTTTCCGCACCAATGAAATTCTTGCCCTCTGCTTTCCTGAGTATTCGTTCTTCAGTTCTTTCTCTTCCCATTCTTCTGTCTGTGTTCCCCAAGATTAAATCCTCAGCCCCCTTCTTTCTCCCCATTCTTTGCCTCAAAGTTTAGCCTCTTGAAAGGTCAGCCTCAAGAAACTTCATAATGATATAAGGGAGGTACAGACTGTTTTCTTCCTGGTCCTGACTTCAACTCTAACTGGCTGGAGACTATGAACCTGTCATTTCTCCATTCCTTAGTTTCTTCTTCTATGAAATGGGGACATACCTTCTTCTCAGTGTTGTGGGAATCAAGCAAACAGATTCTAGCCCCTGTTCATTTCATAATTTTTTTTTTTTTGAGATGGAGTTTCGTTCTTGTTGCTCAGGCTGGAGTGCAATGGTGCAATCTCAGCTCACCACAACCTCCGCCTCCTGGGTTTGAGCGATTTTCCTGCCTAAGCCCCCTGAGTAGCTGGGATTACAGGCATGCACCACCATGCCTGGCTAATTTTGTATTTTTTTTTTTTTTTTAGTAGAGACGAGATTTCTCCATGTTGGTCAGGCTGGTCTCAAACTCTCGACCTCAGGTGATCCGTCCCCCTCAGCTTCCCAAAGTGCTGGGATTACAGGTGTGAGCCACCACACCCGGCGCATTTAATAATTTTAAAGGGTTTATATGTGCAGGCATTGTGCAAAGCACTTTGATTTTATTTTTTCTTGTAACCCTCACTCTAACCTCACGAGACAAGTTTGGGAAATTGAGGTTCAGAGAGGTGAAGAATTGTACCTGAGTTCATTCTGCTGATGTGGAAGAGCTGCTATTTGAATCTCTGCCTGGCTGAAACCGGAATTTAGGTCTTAAACATAATGTTCTATTGTCTTCCTTTGAAAGCATTAAGAAAATAAGTAAGCACTAAACAAAGTAAGAAACTTATTTTTGAATTTATGATGACCCAAAGAGAGGTATTAATATTTAGAGTGTCTAGTATGGGAATACAATGATAACTAGTCAACATGGTGTCTTCAAGTCATTTTACCCTGTGTTAAAGGGCATAACTGACCGTCGCTGGGTAAGGACTAAGATTCAAAGAGGATTTGATATCTGATCTGCCTTAAAATCATAGCCCCAGAGCTGGAAGATTATTTGGTACAAACTCTTCTCATAAGAGTTTAGAGAGCTTAAAGAGCAAACTCAAGGTCACCCAGGCTCTTGGCTAGAAGGGGAAACCAGTCTTCCCACTTTCCTCTTCAAAAATCCCACCCAATGTGAATCTTCTTGGCCATGGTCCCCCCATATTCACAGGGCTCTTCCATCCTCAAAGCAGAGACATCTTCAGGGAAGCTCCTTTTTCCTCCTGGACTCCATGGTGATACCACGCAACTTTCTTGTGCTGATTCCTCAAATCCAGCCAACATCATCTTCCCTCTGGGCCACAGCCAAGTCAGGCAGGAAGAACTGCACATCCTAGACATTGGTGGAAGGGCCGATGTATGGAACCAGAGGGACCATGTCAGCGCTGTTAAGAAATGATGGATGCAAAAGTCCCAGCACTTCTGAGGAAGGGACACAGAGTGTTCCTGGAATCTGGTAAAAGATCCCATTAATCATCACTTCTGTCTTCTCTCCTCTGCTTCACTGTGTGTATGTGTGTGTATGTGTGTGTGTGTTTATGTGTTGTATGTTTGTATGTCTGCCTGCCCTTCTCTCTCTTGCTCTCTGTGTCTCTTTCAGAGTCCCTGTTCCTTTCCCATACCCTTCCTTCTTCTTGCTCACCTATCCCTTTCAGACTCCTTCCCCCTCCAAACCTGTCTTTCCAGGTTGCTGAAAGACAGAGCCAACAAGAGGACAGTCCAGGACCAGGAATGGTGCCATCTCTCTGAAAGCCTCAGCGGTGACAATAACAAATGGTATTTACCTAAGAGTTATTAACACATCAACTGTTCTCTCCTTTACTGTTTAGTCATGTCACTCAGCACTAATGGACTTTTCCAATGGCAAACAGAAAGAGAAGAAGGAAAACAAACAGTGCATTCACACTAGATAGAATCAGTGATCCCTGCTGAAGCTGTGAAAACAGAGGGCATCTCTTAGGTTTGACCTGAGGACACGTCTCACCTGGATGTGGATTGCAAGATTCTGGGCCTATGCTGGACTCTCCACCAAGGTTTCCTATGAGAGAGAAAGCAAGGAGAAGTGAAGGACATGGCTTCATGGTGCAAGAAATAAGTGCTTTACTTATTCAACACTTTCAACTATGAATTGATGACAATCAAGGTTCACGGCACTAGGTGCTGCCATATTGCACCAGACAGACTGAAGACAAGGTTGTGAGTGGTCCAAGTTCGCACAGTAGGTCAGCATGAGAGCTCATCTCACTTCCAGTTTTACTCCACCATGCTGCCTCCATTGATGCTCATTCTTCTCTCTCTCTCTTTTTTTTTTTTAAAGACAGGATCTCACTTTGTCACCCAGGCTGGAGGGCAGTGGCATAATCAGGGCTCACTGCACTCTTGACCTCCTGGATTCAAGCAGCTCTCCAGCCTCAGCTTCCCGAGTGGCTGGGACTACAGGTACACATCACCACAACTGGCTAATTTTAAAATTCTTTTTTAGAGACAGGGGCTTTCTATGTTGCCCAGGCTAGTCTCGAACTCCTGGACTCAAGCAACCCTCCCACCTTGGCCTCCAAATCCATGCCTGGGATTATAGGCATGAGCCGCTGTTCCTGGCTCCATTCTTTCTTTAGTAAGGAAACTGGAATACAGGCTAACAGAGTAAAAAGCACAGGCTTTTGAGTTGGAACAACTCTTGTTTTAATTCACATACCTTCACTTACAAGGTGGGTGACCTTGGACAAGTGGCTTAAACTCTTTAAGCCTCAGCTTCCTCATGAAAAAGCAGAGGTTCTAAGTGGGAGCTTATACTTATGGGGAAGAGAACCAAATAACTAGGGTATTACATTGCAGTATGATCAATAACGGGGAACTGCAGGGAGACAGTATGCCTGGTTTCCAGGCATGGCTGTAACTCTAAGTAGCCATGGACCCTACGCAAGTTTTAAAAACGCTATTGCCTTAGTTTCTTTGCCTGTAAATCACTGTAAATCAATAGATTGGACTAGATCATCTCAGGCCATTCCAAACAGAAAGTTCCAGGAATTTATGAAAATAAGTTTGAATCAAGTCCAACATTTCTTTAAATGTTTATATCTCAGCCACACTATTTAAAAATGGCTTCCCTTATGCCCCTAGAACGGATTGGGAGCTAAAGTGAATGCTGAGTCATCTCTAGTGGAGTTTTAGGGTTGAGTAGGTGGGAGGGGAGTGGAGAAAAAATCAGCAGAGCCTGGATCCCTGGACATACTTAGCCAATTCCAAGGGATGCTGTCCTTTCGGATCTAAGAATTGTATCCCCATCTGCTAACACTGCTTCTTGGGGACCTGGCTCACAGGTAACCATGAAGGCTGATACTGATTAAGTGTTTACTCTGTGTCAGACAAAGTGTCGCACTTTACCTGTATTTCACTTAACTCTATGAGCAAGGTGCTGTCATTATTATCATCTTTCCCTGGGGAGGAAGATACTGAGATTCAGAATAATTATGTAAATTTCCCAAGTGGCAGAATTAGGATTTGAACCCAGCTCCCAAGCAATGGCATTTCTTTCAGTGAAACTCCTAAACTGCTAAAGGAAGCACTGCCTGAGGTTTGAACAGCTAAGAGAAGTCCCTTCTTTCTTTGAGTCTGCTTTCTTAGAAACAGGAAGGAAGTAGACTTTTGCCAAAAACACAAAAATAAACAGGTCCCTGGGGCACCATGTGTAATTTGAAATTCAAAACTCTTGAGAGATGTTGCCTTTTCTTGAGTCTGGTTGGTCCCAGCAATGCTAATGATGGAATCACAGATTGGACTCTCAGGGAGCTCCTGCAACAGGAATACCCTACATGTCTACTAAGAGTGTTGGTCTTAGGGAGTATGTTTGGTGTGTGAGTGATGCAAAGTTAGGATACAAGATGGCAGAAAAAAGAAAGGTGATCTCTGGTCCTGGCAGCCAGGAAATCCTCCCCCAAAGCATGGAATTTAATTTCCATTAAAAGGCAGTAATCATTTTCATTTCTAATATTATAACTTAAAAAACCTGATGTCTGATCATTATAAAAAATGAAATATAGAAAATACAAAGGAAGTTAAAAAATATATACTACAAATCTCACAACTAAAAGAATCATTGTATACATTTGGTAGACAACTTTCGAGGCTTCTAGAATAATAAAAAGATAGATGATTGAGGGGTGGAAACTGAGAGGGTGCAGTGAATCAAGATTTGCAAAACTTTGTATCAGTCATATTAATACATTAGTTATTCATTAAAAAGAATAATTGTACAGACAAATAATTTTATAATAATACAAACTGACATGCTATTTAAGAATTAAAAATTAGCCAATTTGACTTGAACTCAACTTGAAGAAAAAGATATGGAGTCAATTCAAATAAATGTTCTTTTAATATATGGTATCTTCAAGAGATATGTGTATGTTTATAAAAATAAAATTATGAAAAGACTGATATTGGGGTAATTATGCTTTTACAAAATCCATTCATTTTTAGATAGGATTGGTTAGCTCCTTGCTGTAAAAGATGATAAAATTAACTCTCGTGTTGTTTTTCATATTTTCCTTTCCCTACTTACTGATTTGGGTTAGTCTATTTTCATTTTTATTTTACTGAGATTTAAATACTTTTATTCTTTTTGACAAAATCAGGACCAAAATCCCAAAGTTGTTTAGTCTTAGATCTAAATCTATGTGTGTCAAATATTTGCTACCTGTTCTTTCACATTTATTACTCATCTTGTACTTCTTTATTTGGATTCACCTCTTGGTTGGCCAGGTTTCATAATGTAATGAATTCTTCTTGGTTCCTCCTGAGTTTACATTCTTCTCTTCTCTCTTTCTGCGAGTTCTCAGTTTATATGGGGAACTATGTGATTCTGAGGAAACTAGCTCTTTCTTCAACTCCAGACATGGAACCACTACCCAGGCTGAGCAGATCACATCTTTCTGCATCCTTGGTGAGGGTTATCTATGTGACCTCAGATGGTGTGACCTCAGATGGAACAATCAGAGTGAATCTCAGGACTTTTGGCTGGAAATGTTGGAACATAGAACTCTCTTCCTCAAGACTGAATAATATGAGGATGCGAATCCCAGAACTATTGCAACTATCTGTTTGCTTCCTTCCATGAGAGAAGTTAGCCTGAGGATGAAGTCAATACATTGAGAAGGGTTAGGACAAACCAAATTTCAGAGGACTTTTGCTGGGTCCCTGATGATATCATGAACTCCTGGATCAGGTTAGACCTGAAGTAACCCCTATTATTGAACTTTTCAGTTACAGCAGCCAATAAGAACAATAAGAACATACTTAGATAGTATAAGTTTTCTGTTGATTACAAAATGAAGAGCTCTAGTTCGTAAAATTGTGAAGGTAGCTGGTGACGGGCTTATGGAAAACAGTTCTGTAGAGAAAATGACAGCAACAAAGCTTCAGAGGTCAAAGAACAGAGGGCATATGACCCAATATTTGTGAATTTAGCTTTTTCTAATGCTGCTACAAGGAGACTTATTCTTGTTAAGGAGGAATAGAACATAATAGTGATGGCTTGCCTCTTAGAGCATAAGCTATTTCCTTACAGGAACTTTTATCTGGAGCTGGAAAAATGTAAGGAAGCCAAGAATGCATTGACAGCTGCTATGGCAACCAGGATTCAAGGGGACAAAATTCTAAAGAAGAGGAAGTCATGCAGAAATGTGAAAGGACATTGTGACTTTTTGTCTTTGGGAATTTTTTAGTTTGGGATTTGGAAAGAGGGCCCAAGCAAGGGGTAGCTACTAAGAGGGCAGAGAAACCCACTGAAATTTTGATAGTCTCGTGAGGCTGAAGAGACAAAAAAAAATTTGAAGGGTCAGAATGTCAGTAAGAAGAAAGGGCTGGATAACTGATTCCAACATCATATCAGCTTCCCTACCATTAGTATTTGTCAATTTGAAACTTCTTGGGGCAGGGGACGAACAAACTTAGACTCTGAAAAACAGAATGCAATTTTGGTAGTCTCAGAATACCAAAGGGATGAGGATTAGAATTCAGGTCCAACTGTGCAGAAAAATCTCCAGTTAACACCTCAAGCTCTTATTGAGAATTCCAGGAAGAGGAGATAAATGAAAGATGATCCTACCTGTAACTGAAAATCTAGTTCAAATCAGCTTTGTCCTTGATTGGTGAAAGTTGATAGTCCCCAATCTATCTGTTTGGCAAAGGAAAGGATGAACCATTTCAGGAGGAAGATAACATTATTCAGAGTCTTTCTCATACACAATTCAATCAAAAATTACTAGGACCAAGTGACCAAATTCAAGAGAAAAGCTAGCCGATAGAAAGACCCATGGGAGATCCAAGTGTTGAACTGATCAGATGTGAACTTTAAAATAGTTAGGATTAACATGTTTGAGAAAAATACAAAAAAACTAAGAAAATATATTAAAAGATACAGAATTTTAGCAGTTAGTTAGATTTTAAAAGCAACAATCAAATTAAAATTTTAGAACTAAAAATGTAATAACTAAAATGAGAAGCTCAATAGATGGATTTGACAGAAGATTTGATACAAAAGAAAGCAGAAGTAATAATCTGAAAAAATAGGCCAATAGAAAACATCCATATGAAACAAAGGATTTAAAAAAGAATTTAAAAAAGCACTGAAGAGTATAATAGATATATGAGGCACAGTAAATATTTCTAAAAATGGTATAATTTGAGTTCCAGTATGAGAAGAGAGAATGTGATGAAGCAAAATTTGAAGAGCTAATGGGATATAATGTTGCAAAATGAATAAACCCCGCAGGTTTAATGATTCTTGCAAACTCTGAGAAGAAAACATCAGAATAAAACCACATTCAGGCTTTCCTTGTAAAACTGCTGAAAAGCAAAGACAAAGAGAACATCTTTAAAATAGGCAGAGGAAAAAAAGATAAAATAATATAAATTTTCTTATGAAACAACAGAATCCAGGAAATAATCGAATAACTTCTTTGAACTGCTGAAAAAAAGTCCAACTTAAAATTCTATATCCAGAAAAAATATTTAGCAAACATTAAAGCCAAATAGACGATTAAGACAAACAAAAACAAACAGAATGTGTCAGTAGCACAACTAAAGTAAAATAAATACTAAAAGGAGTTCTTTAGGAAGAAGAATATTTATTCTTTTTTGGAAAGAACCCAAAAAGATTATTCACTTCTTTCCTCCATCTCTGGGTATACATTTCCTCAGCTCTTTCTTGACTACACTGGCCCAGCCATCAAAGACTTTCCTCTTAAATCCCCAAAATAAAAATTTTACACCACCTAACTATTGTAACCAGGGCTTGGCGTTCTGTCCCATCTAGCCATATTTCTTCACAGCCAAACTGAATCTGTCCTGTTGCTATTAGGACTCATTATCTTTTTAAAAACAAAACATTTTTTCCTTCCATACCATGAAAGTAAATCACATCCAGTTGTAGAATATTTCTAAAATACAAAAGTACAAATATGTAAATAAAAGTTATTTATGTTCTCCTTTTCTTAAGTGATTGTTTTTGTTATTTTATTTATCATTATGTTTTTATTGGACATATAGGTTGTATCATAATATGTTTTAATTGAGTAACCTTTATAAATATTCTTTTTCATAAATCTTTATATTTCTTAATGTTTTGTTTCTTAAGAAATATTTCTTTCTTTTTTTGTGATGGGGTCTTGCTATGTTGTCCAGTCTGAGTGCAACGGCTATTTACAGGCATGATCATAGTGTGCCACAGCCTCAAACTCCTGGGTTGAAGAAATCCTCCTGTCTTGGCCTCCCAAGTAGCTGGGACTATAGACATGTACTTCCACACTTGGATCAAAGAGATATTTCTGAAAGTAAAATTTGGGGGTCAAAGGTATGGATTATTGTTTTTCTGACTCTTTTTTTAAAAAGTTGCTTCAGTGTCTTTGTTTTTCTTTCTTCCCCAGCATCTCCCCAATCCTCCTCCCCACTGCCAACCTCTGATAAGCATAATTCTACTCTGTTTATATGGGTTTGACTTTGTTAGATTTCACACATGTGAAATCATGGATCATATGGTTATCCTATTTTTAATTTTTGAGGAAAATCCACACTGCTTTCCATAATGGCTACATTAATATGCCTTTCTAACAACAGTTCCCTTTACTCTACAACCTTGTCAACACTTGTTATTGTTTGTCTTTTTGATAATGGCCATTCTAACAGGTGTGGTATGATATTTCATTGTGCTTTGAGTTTGCATTTCCTTGATCATTAGTGACATTGAGCATTTTTCTCATTTACTTGTTAGCCATTTGCATATCTTCTGAAAATTTGCTATTCAAGTCTTTTACCTGTTTTTAAATGGGCTTTTGTTTTCTTACTATTGAGTTGTTTGAGTTCCTTATATATTTTGGCTATTAACCCCTTATCAGATGTCTGGTTTGCAAATATTTTTTGCCTTTCTATAGGTTATGTTTTCACCTGGTGATTTTGCTGTGCAGTGCTTTTCATTTTTTATGTAATTTCATTTGTTTATTTTTGCTTTTGCTGCCTGTGCTGTTGGGGTCATATTAAAAAAAATTGTTGCCTAGATGTCATGGAGATTTTTCACTATGTCTTCTTTTAATAGTTTTATGCTTCAGGTATTACATTGAAATATTTAATTTATTTCCAGTTGATTTTTGAATATGGTGTGAGATGTGGGTTTAATTTCACTCTTCTGCATGTGGATATCCAGTTTCCTAGAACCATTTATTGAAGAAAATGTCCTTTCCTCATTGTATGTCGCTATGTGGAAAATCAATTAAGTAAAAGTGTGTGAATTCATTTCTGGGCTCTTTATTCTGTTCCATTGGTGTCTGTTTCTACACAAATGCTCTGCTGCTTTGATTATTATATTATAGCTTTGTCGTGGATTTTGAAATGAGGTAGTGTGAAGCCTGCGGCTTTGTTCTTTTTGCTTAAGATTGCTTTGGCTATTTAGAATCTTTTGTAGTTCCATATGAATTAGGATTTAGTCTCTTTTTGTGAAAAATGTCATTGGAATTTTGATGGAGAGTGCATTGAATCTGTAGATCACTTTAGTTGGTATGGAGACTTTAAAAGTATCAATCCTTCTAATCCATGAACACAGGATATCTTTCCATTTACTTGTATCTTCTTCAATTTCTTTAATCAGAACTGGGACTAGTATAAAATTCGGGGGCTCTGCAGTTTGCTACTTAAGCCTATATACACTTTTTTCAAGCACCCTGATATCATCATAACTTCATAGTTGGGATCTATTAATATTCTCTAAAGCAGAGAATATTAAACACTACCTGTTAGCAGGATGTTCCCACCTTCTCCATGTTCTCTCTCTTTTTTCTGACTTCAGCGGTATCTCAGTGTGGTGCTTCCATTGTCGTCTATGAAATTCTTCTTATGGTAAGGTTCTTGTGTGTAATTATTCAATACTATATCCTATATTATCTAGTCTCAGTGCACTGTCTTGATCAAAGAACGCTGTTCAGAAACCAAAGAGTGACTTCAAAACCACTCAAGTTCTTTGAGTGTTTGTAAAAACCTGTAAAGGATAAACATTCATAGCAATTCTTTGACATATTTTTTTCTTCTCCTATCCACTTTCTCACAATAGCTGCTCTCTTGTGCTTCTCAGAAATTCTCATTTCCTTCTTAAGATTTATTCCTCCAACCCTACCTTGTCCTCCTGTCTCTCTCCTGCTTCCATTCCTTTTCTGATTCTGATCCCAACATTTGGAAGACTCTTCTGGCAATGGAAGAACTCTTCTCCAAATATGAAGTCTGGGGTGACATTGAGTAGTCAAAATCAAAGCCATCATTGGCAAGCAGAGGGATTGGGGAAAACTTGGAACGGTTACATATTAACAATGTTATCTGTTCACAGGTCTTTCATGCAGAGTGGAAATCTGAATGTGTGTGTGTGTGTGTGTGTGAGTGTGTGTGTGTGTTTAGGGATCTATCACTTACCTTTCCTTCCAGGGCAATAGTGCTCATCCTTGGCTACTATATTACCTTGATAACAAGTAACAGGGAATCAACTTTTCAAACTGTAGTAGATTGGAAATAGCTTATTGTAAAGCATCTATGAAGTTATATACTTCTGATATAACCTCAGGCCCTTTTGTTTTTATATTTTCATTGGTCAGGATATACAGTAGAAACAAAGGAGACGGTGGAGTGTGATGGATAAGAATACAGGCTTTGGAACTACATAGACCTGCATCCCAAGCCTGACTCTACCACGTATTTGCTTTATGACTTTGGGCAAGCCACTACAATCTTCTGATTTATTTGTAAAAGAGAGATAACACTTCGCAAGGTTATTTTGAAGGTTTAATTGTATCATTTAGTCAATAAATATTTATTGAGAACTTCTGTGTGCCAGTACTATTCTAGGCACTGGGACTCTGACAGTGAACCAGCAAGAAAACCTCACTGCTGCCAAGTAGCTGAGAGCCCAGTGATAATCCATGTAAAGTCTGCCCACTACCTGGCACATAGCGAGCACTCAATAAATGGAAGAAATAATCATACTATTACTAGATTTTATCAAAAATATTTGCCTTTCTGATCTTGTTGGGTGAAAGATAGTTTCACTTAGCTAAATAAAGTCTTAGAATTCTAAAATGTCTAAGTTAGAAGGGTTAATGGTGTGTTTTGTTGTTTCAGGGCAAGGGGATTGGGGACTGTATCACTCTGGTGTCACTAGCCTCTGAGATTGCCTCCCAGTGATGCCTGCTTCCTGGTGTTCACATCCTTATATAGTCTGCTCCCTCAGTGTGCCAGGTTTGGTTTGTGCTAATACAATATGGCAGAGCAATGGTATGTCACTTCTAACATTAGGTTATAGAAGATATTGAGGATTCCTTCTTGGACATTCTCTTTCTTTCTTTCTCAGATTATTCACTTTGGGGGAAGCCAGCTGCCATGCTATGAACCGCCTCATGGAGAGGCCCACATGACAGGAAACTGAGGCCTCCAGCCAATAGCCATATTAGTGATCTTGGGAGTGAATTCTGCAGCCCTGATGGGCCTTCTTATGACAGGAGCCCCAGCTAACAGCTTGACTGTGACTTCATGGGAGACACTGAGCCAGACCTATCCAGCTAAGCAGCTCCCAGATGCCTGATCCTTAGAAACTGTGTGAGAAAATAAATGCTTGTTATTTTAAGATGCTAAGTTTTGGGATAATTTGTTGTGCAGTAATAGATGCTATTAATAACATACTCATTATAGGGGCTTGATAAATATTTTTGGAATAATTTAATGCACATATATTTGGTTTTTCATCCTAAGTTCAAGATATTCAGTAACTTTCCCAAGATCCCACACTTGTCTCTTCCTTGTTAATGAGCCTCAGTCTTTGATATGGTTTGGCTATGTCCACACCCAAATCTCATCTTGAATTGTAGCTCCCATAATTCCCACGTGTCATGGGAGGGACCTAGTGGGAGGTAATTGAATCATGGGGATGGGTCTTCCCATGCTGACCAATAGCATGATATCGGACAGCATGGGAAAGACATGATAGCAAATAAGTCTCAGTGATAGAGAATAAGTCTCAAGAGATCTGATGATATTACACAGGGGAGTTCCCCTGCACATGCCCTCTTTGCCTGCTGCCATGTAAGAAGTCCCTTTGTTCTTCCTGCATCTTCTGCCATGATTGTGAGGCATCCCCGGTCACATGGAACTGTGAGTCCATTAAACCTCTTTCCTTTATAAATTACCCAGTCTCGGGTATGTCTTTATCAGCGGCATGAGAACGACTAATACAGTCTTAATGTTTGATCTGCCTTGATCTTAATGTTTCCCCAGTTCTTTCTCCTCCCCACATCCTGCCTTCAGCCAGAAGGGGCAGGAGCATTAGCCTCTGGGCTCCCTGACTTGGTTTGGTCCCTCTTCACCAGCAATGACTGGGCCTATTTTCCTTAAGAGACAATAATCCTGGCTTATTATGTATCCAGAAGCTATGGGAACATTTGTTTCCCTTCTGAGCCTGTTTTATCTATAAATTTCAATATATTAGCTAAGAAAGCTTATATCTGAGACCTGGAGGGAAGTGCCCTTTTAAAAGCTATTGCATTCTGATCCTCGTATTTCTTTCCAGAGACAAGGTTAGGGGTGGAAAATGCACTCATGGTAGAAAAGAAAGGCTTTTCAAGTCATCCTGTTATACCAGGAGTGGGAAAATCAAGGCAGAGGCTGATAAATGAATCTCAGGGTCAAACCAGATCCAGAAAAAACAGAGTCTAAGTCCTGAGCTGTTGAGACCTTAGACAAAGCTTGCCCCATATGAGAAACTTGTAGTATTTTTCTGGCTCTAACAGGAACCAGCACAGGGACTCCCAAGATTGAGGACACCAAGCTGCTGCGGTGTCCTAATTTACCACACTGAGAAGAGTTTGAAATTTTTCCCTCTGTGTGTGTGTGTGCACGCGTGTGTGTGTTTGTGACTGTTAGGTACACTAGCCCCCAAGGCAGGTAGTAGGTCATATTGCTTATTCCATCCCAGTACCACACGCTTCTGGGCATACAGTAAATGTTGAATCAAGGCAAGGATGTGCACGTTTAAGCCTCTGTAATTGTGTTTGCTTATCTTAAGGCATTCTTTCTTTATTCATTTTAACCCTTAAAAAGTTTCTTCTTCTTTCTACAAAAACAAAACAAACCAGAAAGACAAAACAAAAACCAAAATTGGTGACCTCATGCCTTATAGTTGTTCCTGTCTTCTGAGTGGCATTTGCTGTCTGAAGATATTTTCATCTATTACTGCATTTTTTTTTCTCCTCTTAGGTTTAGATCAGAGCTTATTTTTCAATAAGACGTGTTCAGAAAAGCTATCTTCCTTTACCAAATTGCACACTTCACAAAAGACAGAGATGAGATTTGAACCTTGGGCTGTCTGACTTTAAAGCCCCATGTCCGCTCCACTACCCAGGCTGTCTCTGTGCACATGCTGAGGCCACAGTCCTTTAGTCTCCAAGTGCTTGGCCACCCCTCTAGAATAAGGAGGTGATGCCTGGCTTCTCAAAAGGGATGAGGCTCTGGGCTTCCCACTCATTTTCAACAGAGTGCTTCCACTGTGGCTTTACATTTTGAGCTTTCCTATATAATTTCATTGGAACAAAACATTCCAAAGCAAGATGACACCAAATCAAACTGGAACAAACAAACAAGTCCACTGACTTTTGGTGATTAGGTGACCTCTAAGCTCCCTACTATAAAAGCTCACTCCAATGTCTTTCTTTCTGAGCCAATGTCTTCCATCTCAGGCTCCTGGCAATGAAGAGTGAGCATGGAGCCAGACCTCCTTTGGTATAATACAGCATCCGCTTCCCTCCAGCTGGGCTCAGCTGCAGGGCTTGTGCCCATGGGAGGTTTCTGGGGAAAGGACAAACCAAGGCAACATTAAACCAAGAATGTTCAGCATGTCACAACTTTCACAAGCAGGACTGTGAGCCAGTATATCCTAATGGCTAAAAGCACAGGCTTTGGCTTTAAACATATATGGGTTATATGTTGACTGCTTTCTAGATTTTTGACCTTGGGCAAGTTCCTTTATCCACCTAAGCCTCAGCATCACCATTGGTAAAATAGAGATAGTAATGCCCATTTCATAAAGTTGTTACAAAGATGAAATGAGCCTATATATGTAAAGCACAGGCAGCTACCATTTGTTGAGCACTTACTAGAAGCCAGGAGCTCTGCTAAGTGTTTTATATACATTGCCTTAGTGCATCTTCACAACAAACCTACGAGGTGGGCATGTTTGGCCTGTAACTGGATACAAAGGAAACAGTCAGTAAGTGGGAGTTTTCATTATTATAGTTATTGTTGTTACAATGACATGGTGTTGGGTCAGCCATGAGTGATGACTACAGTGAGCATCCACATGCAATGATGCTGGGTTGGACCCTCCCACATGCTGCCTTCACCTGGTTCTCCAGCTGGGGAGGATGATGTCACTCCACAGAGCTAAGAGATTTCTCAGCAAGTGTTTTCTGTAGAGATTTCTCCTCTCTTGGCTCCCCTCCTCAATGTCAGTCCCAACTGCCTGCTCTACCATCTGGCATTGGTAGGTGAGATGGTAAAAAGAATTTTCAGAAAATATATTATGTTTCAAGTCTGAAATCTAAAGTTCCAGGTTTTTCACTTTCAGACAGAGAAAGGATGACTGTCATTCACCATTCATTGATGTGTGATACCTTTGGGGGAATCGTAGTGTCTCTCTAAGCCTACATTTCTACACCTGGAAAAACGGAAAGAAAATGAATAAGGAATGAAACATTTAGTGAGCATCTACTACATATCAGGAGCTCAATGTAAGTTGTCTCAATTATTCATCTCAACATGCTATAATTATTGTCCCTGTTTTATAAATGATGAAAACTTAGGCTCAGGCAGGTTGAGGCTCACCCAAGATCTCATGGCCATTAAGTGACAGAAGCGGAACTTGAATGCAAGTTTTCTGAAACATGTTCTCCACCACATCAACCAACAATTTGAAAGGCTGTCCTAGAGCCGCCTCCCATCCCTCCTTCTGAGTATGTGGAAGGACACAATCTCCTCTTTGCTTCGGCCTTTTCATAGGTAAACATCCCTTTGTAAACTACCCATTATGGGGGAACAGATGCCTGCTATCTTCTAGTGGAGTTTCAAAGGCCCGAATACCTCCACCTGCAGCCAACACAGCACATTTTGCAGGTACTTTGCAGTAATATGAGCCTCTGGTTATTTCCTGAGATGGATTCTTTAATTTTCATGCTTAAACACAAATATAGCTTTGGTCCCTGTAAACAAACACAGTGACAAAGCTACATGACTCACCTACCAGTCATTTCCAGTGGCTTTCCAAAGCATGGGCATGGCATGGTACTGACCACGCATTCTGTCTCCCTGGAAACTGGTTCTTAGGACATGCCTGAGAAAATTAGTTCACTTGTCAGCCACCTGCACTGTGCCATTCTGTTAAGGTAGATTAAGGAGGTGAGGAATGAGGTCTGAGAGCAAGGGGAATCATGGCTTTGCTTGGAAAGAAAGAAGTCTCTTTTGGGCTAGGAGCAATCAATCATTTGACAATCAATTGATTTAGAGTGTGTTGAGAGCCAGGTGCCTGGAATATAAAAAGAGATGAGTTCAGGGAGCCTGGAGGCAAAACCAAGGTTGGAACATGTTTCCTGACCAGCACAAGCGGTAGAGTATTTAACATTATTGACTATTTAGGAAAATCTGGACTTTCACCATAAGCTTAAGACATGGTACCCTGTCATTAATCTTACAATCTTTTGGTAAAGGAAAATGAAGTTGTTGGGATTGAAAAACCTCTCCTTCTAAATCTCCTTTCCCAAATATGGGCCACTTAGAATTCTACCTTGAGTTTTTTGTCTTTTGCTTAAAGTTTTGATCATTATTAACATGTAAATATCCTGGGAAAAAATAACTGATGTGATCAGGGATAGGCTTCACCCATCATACTATTTCAAAAGAAGGAAAGAGCTAAACTAATGTGTTGAGAGGGACTCTCAGGTAGGACTCTGTGAGAGAGATCTGTCCTTGGGCTGGAATGAGAAGTGGTAGGATGGATGTTTTACAGGCACATTTATTTACCTTACAGTGGGGTGCATTAGTTTACTCATTCAATAGTGGTATTTGGGTATAAAAGAAGGATCTAGGAGTAAGTCATAAAAATACATATTTCTCATTAAAATTAATATTATAGAGAAGTTAGGAAACGAGAAAAAAATAAATATAAAATAGAAAAATATCGATAGTTTTACCTCTCAAGTATATATTTTATGTCTTAACATATGTGCTAACAATTTTGTATATTTCTTTCCAGCCCTTGTTCTATGCATTACTTTTTTAAAACGTAGTTGAGATTAAATTACAGCATAATTTTGTATCCTGTCTTTTCATTATCATTATACCCTAAGCACTTTGCATATTACTATAAACTTTAATATTAAAATAGCTAATATATTTTAAGTATTGATAATCAGTATGTGCTAGACACCATGCTAAACACTATATGAGATCCACTATCCCATTTAATCTCCACATAAATTAGTAGGTACTATTACTGTTTTTATATTACAAAGGCTAACACTGAGGCTTAGAAAAGTTAGTTCATTTGTTCACAGCCACACAGCTAAAAGTGGAACAGTTGGGATGTAAATCCAGGCTTGCCAGGCTGCTAAACATGTATTACTATTTTTTCAAGGATGATATTATGTGATAGTTTAATTGAAAGTGTTTTTTCTTACTTAATGATACATGAAATATGGAGGATCTTACAATTAATGGCACCTTAGCATAAATGAAACTTAGTTGTATTAATCTAGGATTACTTTTTATACCTCTACAAATCTCTATGCCTTTACCCAATCAGTTTTGAAAACATATTTTATTTTCTTTTTTTTCTCCATGCGTGACCTGCTATTGTCAATGGCCATTTGGAATTCCCAAAGGATTGGTAGAGGTATGCAGTTGGGATAAAGCATTGAGGATACCAACCAAATGACTCACCAGGGAAAACCTGAGCTCTGCTCTTAAATCTGTCTGTATTCCTGGCCAAGATGCCTCATCTCCTCCTTAGTGCTCTCAGTCTTCTTCTACTTTAATGTTATTTTTAATGACCATATAATTTTCTTTCAAGTGGGAAAAATGATGGGCTTGATTGTTCTCCTATTCGTGGCATTTCTTTTATTTCAATATATTCACTATATAAATAAGGTAGGAGCAAGCATTAAAACATGGTGGGTGAGAAACTCTAGAGATGGAGGGAAAAAGAACATAGGAATTATTTATTTTCTCTGGGTACTGTGCTCTTCTACAGGGTGTTCATAAAGGCTAGAAACATAGAAAAATATATATAACAAATGTTTTATTGATATTACAGACAATAGGCGATGTGTTCAAAGTGCTATCTCTCATTATCAATGTGTGGTTCAATTTGCTGATGAAAATTGCAAAAAACTAGGTACTCTTAATGCATTTCCATAAATCTGTACAGATGCATCTAGGATGCATTGTCTCAGACAATTTATGCCTAGATTTTTCCATTGTGTAAACTGTGCCATTAACATACCCCCAGAGGAAGAATTATAATGAGTTCAGTCTTTGCAAAAGTAGATGTTGGTCACTCTACATTATGTTGTAATACACTCTGTGTTATGGCTTTTTTATCACAGTTTGCCTGGCTTACTACAAACATCTGTATATTGGACATCTCTTTACCAGACACCATAATTCCTTATATATATGAGATATATATATATATATAATATATATATATAAAATTTATTTGACATGTGTAGTATATTTTTCTCCATGAGATAATGAGCACTTACAGGGCAAGAATATTCTCAGCTGCAGAGGTGATCACACTCCACAATTTATGAAACATAATTATTATTAGGCCCTGAAGCATTTCTTTTTAAATTTTACATGTTTATGTACTGTCTTTTATTTTCCTACTCACTCCAGTTTCCATGCCTCTTACCATGGGTGACCATTCTGTTTAATGTGTTTGTTGTACATGGTCTCCTGTGGGGTTGGGTAAAGAATTCGTTGGGATGTACACCTGGAATCTTTGGGTCCTAACTCCCACCCACAGTAATGAACTTTCTTGTGGCATCTCATCCTCATCAACACTTCCACTGTCCAGCTTGGGATTGTTGTTGGTTCAGAAGGTAGAAAGTGATATCTCCTTGTTTTAAATTACTTTTCTCTAAACACGGTGACTATAGTTAATAACAATGTATTGTGTACTTGAAAATTGCTAAGAGAGTGGATTTTAAGTGTTCTTACCACAAAAAATGGTATGTGGAGCTAATATATGGTAACTAGCTGAGTTTAGCCATTCCACAAATCTATACATATTTCAAAACATCATTTTGTACACCATACATATATATACTTTTTATTTATCAATTGAAAACATTACATTTAAAAACAGCTTTCCTCTGACTACTAGTAATTTTGAATGACTTTAATATACTAAGTAATCTTCTGTGTTTCCTCTTCTTCAAATTGTCTTTTCATACCCTCTATTTTCTTATTGGGGCTATTGTATTTGGGGAAATTTATTGAATTTGTTTGAATATTTTAGATATTGGTTTTAGAGATTACAAATATCTTCTGAGGTGCTCTCTCACTTTCCTTTTAAATACTGTCATTCCCCTATTTTTTTTTCATGATGTCCTTCAATGAACAAAAATCCACAGTTTTGTTATAGTCAAATCTTTCAAGGGTTTTTTTTCATTGCCATTGGGTTTGTGCTCTGGAAGTTTTATTGATGCTCTCTCTTTCCCTGCCACAAGCCCCTAGGTCACAAAAATATTCTACATTTTCTTCTAATTATTTTAGTTTTATAGCTCACATTTAGGCCTTTAATTAATCTAGAATCTATCCTTGTTTAAGGAGTTCAATGAGGATTTCATTAATTTCAGTTTTCTAGTTTCTCAATATTTATTAAACAAAGTGTCTCTCAATGAATGCGTAATCTATTATCTATTTGTCCGACACTAATTTTTTCTCTTCTGTTGGCTAATTTGTTTTTGAAACATTACCACACTGTTTTCATTATCAGTCTCTAATATGTCTTAAAGTTAATGTTGTCTTGGTAATTTGTGAACCAATATAAATTTTAGATGATCAAGTTCCTTGAAAACAATCCAGCTGGAATTTTAGTTGGTATTGCCTTGATTTTACAGGTCCTTACCTGAAGCCCAAGGTGATTTTTGGCCGCTGGCGACCTTGTGACCGTTGGCAGTGGGTCAGATGTGGCACTCAGAATTAGGGGAAGGATTGGTGATGCCAGAACATCTGGTGAAGCCGGCACTTCAAGGCACTCCTCAAGCCTGGAAAGCCTCACCAATAGGTATGACTCATGGTTTCGTGAAAAGCTGCTGATCTCATTAGTTTCAGAAATGATTGCATGGCTGGGCAGGGACTCTCGGGTAGATGCAGCGCTGACTGGGTGCCCCCGGGAAGAATACCTCGCATTTCTCCTGAGGTGGTGAAATAGGCGGAAACTGGTTCCCATCCAAATCCTGGAAACCACCATGGGTGAGGTCATGTCCACACATGTCAAGGCCTTGATGAGATAGTTATCTGCATAGTCCAGAAAAATCACTTTTCCACCAAACATTCTAAATGATTGATGGAGAAACAAATTTTCCAATTACGCTAACTTTCATTGTTATTACTAAAGAATTAAGTGCTACACCACACACACACACACACACACACACACACACACAGTCACACAATATTCAGATAAAAAGAAAGCCTAATTATTTTATATTCAGAAAAAAATGAATTGGCCTTTCTGAACAACCACAACGATGAAAAAGGAAAAGAAATCTGTTAAAACTTTAATTTTAGTTTTCCTTTTAGATTTTAAAATAATTGTGAAATATTTCAAACATAGAAAATATATAGAGTTTTTCTTTCTTTTTGGGAAACAGAGTTACAATGAAAGATACAATTGGAGACCACAGGGTACCATTGCGCCGGTCCTATTCTTCTGCTTCTCTTCTGAGTACTCATGCTTATTTTATACTTTTACTATCTATGTATGCATCCCTAAACTGTAAATAGCAAAATTTTGCACATTTTAAGATTTTATCTGAATGGTCCTATGTCTGTATCATTCTGCAGTGTGTGTTTTATCAATATTAGTATTTGTTGTTCTCTCAATTTGAAGTTTTCCACATTTATTTTAAGTGTTCCATTAAACATATTCCATTCCAGAAAATATATTGAAATTTATTCATTTCTATTGATAGATATTTAAATCATTTCCAAATGTTTGCTCCCAGGAAAACAGCTGCAATGGACATTATTACACATGTTTCCTCATGCACAAGAGTTAGAGTTTCTCTAAAACACTATTTTGGAGAGAGTATGAGCATCTTCAGAGTTCCTAGATAATGCCAAATTGTTTTTCAAAGTAATAGTATTAATTTACCCTCCTACCAGCATATCCTTACCAACACTTGGCATTGCCAAACTTTTGAATTTTCATAAATTTGATGGATGTGAAATGTTTTCTCATTAGTGTTATAATTTGCATTCTGCAGATATTAATGAGTTTGAGCACATTTTCATATATTTATTGTCTTCTCAGGTTTTCTTTCCTGTGAATTGCCTGTTTATATTTATTTATTTATTTCTGACCTGGGGGATGCTATAAACTGAATTCTGTGCCCCACTCCCTACCCAGTTCCCTACCCAGTTTCGTATGTTGAAGCTTTAACCCTTAATGTGATCGTATTTGGAGATGGGGTGTTTGGAAGTTTAATGTATTTATTTAAATTTTTTATTTCCATAGGTTATTGGTGAACAGGTGGTGTTTAGTTACATGAGTAAGCTCTTTAGTGGTGATTTGTGAGATTTTGATGCGCCCATCATCCGAGCGGTGTACACTGCCCCAATCTGTAGTCTTTTTTTTTTTTTAATTATACTTTAAGTTTTAGGGTACATGTGCACATTGTGCAGGTTAGTTACATATGTATACATGTGCCATGCTGGTGCACTGCACCCACTAACTCGTCATCTAGCATTAGGTATATCTCCCAATGCTATCCCTCCCCCCTCCCCCCACCCCACAACAGTCCCCAGAGTGTGATATTCCCCTTCCTGTGTCCATGTGATCTCATTGTTCAATTCCCACCTATGAGTGAGAATATGCGGTGTTTGATTTTTTGTTCTTGGCGATAGTTTACTGAGAATGATGTTTTCCAATTTCATCCATGTCCCTACAAAGGACATGAACTCATCATTTTTTATGGCTGCATAGTATTCCATGGTGTATATGTGCCACATTTTCTTAATCCAGTCTATCATTGTTGGACATTTGGGTTGGTTCCAAGTCTTTGCTATTGTGAATAATGCCACAATAAACATATGTGTCCATGTGTCTTTACAGCAGCATGATTTATAGTCCTTTGGGTATATACCCAGTAATGGGATGGCTGGGTCAAATGGTATTTCTAGTTCTAGATCCCTGAGGAATCGCCACACTGACTTCCACAATGGTTGAACTAGTTTACAGTCCCACCAACAGTGTAAAAGTGTTCCTATTTCTCCACATCCTCTCCAGCACCTGTTGTTTCCTGACTTTTTAATGATTGCCATTCTAACTGGTGTGAGATGGTATCTCATTGTGGTTTTGATTTGCGTTTCTCTGATGGCCAGTGATGATGAGCATTTTTTCATGTGTTTTTTGGCTGCATAAATGTCTTCTTTTGAGAAGTGTCTGTTCATGTCCTTTGCCCACTTTTTGATGGGGTTGTTTGTTTTTTTCTTGTAAATTTGTTTGAGTTCATTGTAGATTCTGGATATTAGCCCTTTGTCAGATGAGTAGGTTGCGAAAATTTTCTCCCATTTTGTAGGTTGCCTGTTCACTCTGATGGTAGTTTGTTTTGCTGTGCAGAAGCTCTTTAGTTTAACTAGATCCCATTTGTCAATTTTGTCTTTTGTTGCCATTGCTTTTGGTGTTTCAGACATGAAGTCCTTGCCCATGCCTATGTCCTGAATGGCAATGCCTAGGTTTTCTTCTAGAGTTTTTATGGTTTTAGGTCTAACGTTTAAGTCTTTAATCCATCTTGAATTGATTTTTGTATAAGGTGTAAGGAAGGGATCCAGTTTCAGCTTTCTACATATGGCTAGCCAGTTTTCCCAGCACCATTTATTAAATAGGGAATCCTTTCCCCATTGCTTGCTTTTCTCAGGTTTGTCAAAGATCAGATAGTTGTAGATATGCGGCATTATTTCTGAGGGCTCTGTTCTGTTCCATTGGTCTATATCTCTGTTTTGGTACCAGTACCATGCTGTTTTGTTTACTGTAGCCTTGTAGTATAGTTTGAAGTCAGGTAGCGTGATGCCTCCAGCTTTGTTCTTTTGGCTTAGGATTGACTTGGCGATGCGGGCTCTTTTTTGGTTCCATATGAACTTTAAAGTAGTTTTTTCCAATTCTGTGAAGAAAGGCATTGGTAACTTGATGGGGATGGCATTGAATCTGTAAATTACCTTGGGCAGTATGGCCATTTTCACGATATTGATTCTTCCTACCCATGAGCATGGAATGTTCTTCCATTTGTTTGTATCCTCTTTTATTTCCTTGAGCAGTGGTTTGTAGTTCTCCTTGAAGAGGTCCTTCACATCCCTTGTAAATTGGATTCCTAGGTATTTTATTCTCTTTGAAGCAGTTGTGAATGGGAGTTCACTCATGATTTGGCTCTCTGTTTCTCTGTTGCTGGTGTATAAGAATGCTTGTGATTTTTGTCCATTGATTTTGTTTTCTGAGACTTTGCTGAAGTTGCTTATCAGCTGAAGGAGATTTTGGGCTGAGACAGTGGGGTTTTCTAGATATACAATCATGTCATCTGCAAACAGGGACAATTTGACTTCCTCTTTTCCTAATCGAATACCCTTTATTTCCTTCTCCTGCCTAATTGCCCTGGCCAGAACTTCCAACACTATGTTGAATAGGAGTGGTGAGAGAGGGCATCCCTGTCTTGTGCCAGTTTTCAAAGGGAATGCTTCCAGTTTTTGCCCATTCAGTATGATATTGGCTGTGGGTTTGTCATAGATAGCTCTTATTATTTTGAAATACGTCCCATCAATACCTAATTTATTGAGAGTTTTTAGCATGAAGGGTTGTTGAATTTTGTCAAAGGCTTTTTCTGCATCTATTGAGATAATTATGTGGTTTTTGTCTTTGGCTCTGTTTATATGCTGGATTACATTTATTGATTTGCATATATTGAACCAGCCTTGCATCCCAGGGATGAAGCCCACTTGATCATGATGGATAAGCTTTTTGATGTGCTGGTGGATTCATTTTGCCAGTATTTTATTGAGGATTTTTGCATCAATGTTCATCAAGGATATTGGTCTAAAATTCTCTTTTTTTTGTTGTGTCTCTGCCCGGCTTTGGTATCAGAATGATGCTGGCCTCATAAAATGAGTTAGGGAGGATTCCCTCTTTTTCTATTGATTGGAATAGTTTCAGAAGGAATGGTACCAGTTCCTCCTTGTACCTCTGGTAGAATTCAGCTGTGAATCCATCTGGTCCTGGACTCTTTTTTTTGGTAAGCTATTGATTATTACCACAATTTCAGATCCTGTTATTGGTCTATTCAGAGATTCAACTTCTTCCTGGTTTAGTCTTGGGAGAGCGTATGTGTCGAGGAATTTATCCATTTCTTCTAGATTTTCTAGTTTATTTGCATAGAGGTGTTTGTAGTATTCTCTGATGGTAGTTTGTATTTCTGTGGGATCGGTGGTGATATCCCCTTTATCATTTTTTATTGCGTCTATTAGATTCTTCTCTCTTTTTTTCTTTATTAGTCTTGCTAGCAGTCTATCAATTTTGTTGATCCTTTCAAAAAACCAGCTCCTGGATTCATTAATTTTTTGAAGGGTTTTTTGTGTCTCTATTTCCTTCAGTTCTGCTCTGATTTTAGTTATTTCTTGCCTTCTGCTAGCTTTTGAATGTGTTTGCTCTTGCTTTTCTAGTTCTTTTAATTGTGATGTTAGGGTGTCAATTTTGGATCTTTCCTGCTTTATCTTGTGGGCATTTAGTGCTATAAATTTCCCTCTACACACTGCTTTGAATGCATCCCAGAGATTCTGGTATGTTGTGTCTTTGTTCTCATTGGTTTCAAAGAACATCTTTATTTCTGCCTTCATTTCGTTATGTACCCAGTAGTCATTCAGGAGCAGGTTGTTCAGTTTCCATGTAGTTGAGCAGTTTTGAGTGAGATTCTTAATCCCGAGTTCTAGTTTGATTGCACTGTGGTCTGAGAGAGAGTTTGTTATAATTTCTGTTCTTTTACATTTGCTGAGGAGAGCTTTACTTCCAAGTATGTGGTCAATTTTGGAATAGGTGTGGTGCTGAAAGAAATGTATATTCTGTTGATTTGGGGTGGAGAGTTCTGTAGATGTCTATTAGGTCCGCTTGGTGCAGAGTTGAGTTCAATTCCTGGGTATCCTTGTTGACTTTCTGTGTCATTGATCTGTCTAATGTTGACAGTGGGGTGTTAAAGTCTCCCATTATTAATGTGTGGGAGTCTAAGTCTCTTTGTAGGTCACTCAGGACTTGCTTTATGAATCTTGGTGCTCCTGTATTGGGTGCATATATATTTAGGATAGTTAGCTCTTCTTGTTGAATTGATCCCTTTACCATTATGTAATGGCCTTCTTTGTCTCTTTTGATCTTTGTTGGTTTAAAGTCTGTTTTATCAGAGACTAGTATTGCAACCCCTGCCTTTTTTTGTTTTCCATTTGCTTGGTAGATCTTCAAGGAGAACTACAAACCACTGCTCAAGGAAATAAAAGAGGATACAAACAAATGGAAGAACATTCCATGCTCATGGGTAGGAAGAATCAATATCATGAAAATGGCCATACTGCCCAAGGTAATTTACAGATTCAATGCCATCCCCATCAAGTTACCAATGCCTTTCTTCACAGAATTGGAAAAAACTACTTTAAAGTTCATATGGAACCAAAAAAGAGCCCGCATCGCCAAGTCAATCCTAAGCCAAAAGAACAAAGCTGGAGGCATCACGCTACCTGACTTCAAACTATACTACAAGGCTACAGTAACCAAAACAGCATGGTACTGGTACCAAAACAGAGATATAGACCAATGGAACAGAACAGAGCCCTCAGAAATAATGCCGCATATCTACAACTATCTGATCTTTGACAAACCTGAGAAAAACAAGCAATGGGGAAAGGATTCCCTATTTAATAAATGGTGCTTGGAGTTGCTCTTCTCGAGGCGTATCTTTGTGGCGTTCTCTGTATTTCCTGAATCTGAACGTTGGTCTGCCTTGCTAGATTGGGGAAGTTCTCCTGGATAATATCCTGCAGAGTGTTTTCCAACTTGGTTCCATTCTCCTCATCACTTTCAGGTATACCAATCAGACGTAGATTTGGTCTTTTCACATAGTCCCATATTTCTTGGAGGCTTTGCTCATTTCTTTTTGTTCTTTTTTCTCTAAACTTCCCTTCTCGCTTCATTTCATTCATTTCATCTTCCATCGCTGATACCCTTTCTTCCAGTTGATCGCATAGGCTCCTGAGGCTTCTGCATTCTTCACGTAGTTCTCGAGCCTTGGTTTTCAGCTCCATCAGCTCCTTTAAGCACTTCTCTGTATTGGTTATTCTAGTTATACATTCTTCTAAATGTTTTTCAAAGTTTTCAACTTCTTTGCCTTTGGTTTGAATGTCCTCCCGTAGCTCAGAGTAATTTGATCGTCTGAAGCCTTCTTCTCTCAGCTCGTCAAAGTCATTCTCCATCCAGCTTTGTTCCGTTGCTGGTGAGGAACTGCATTCCTTTGGAGGAAGAGAGGTGCTCTGCTTTCTAGAGTTTCCAGTTTTTCTGTTCTGTTTTTTTCCCATCTTTGTGGTTTTATCTACTTTTGGTCTTTGATGATGGTGATGTACAGATGGGTTTTTGGTGTGGATGTCCTTTCTGTTTGTTAGTTTTCCTTCTAACAGACAGGACCCTTAGCTGCAGGTCTGTTGGAATACCCTGCCCTGTGAGGTGTCAGTGTGCCCTTGCTGGGGGGTGCCTCCCCGTTAGGCTGCTCAGGGGTCAGGGGTCAGGGACCCACTTGAGGAGGCAGTCTGCCCATTCTCAGATCTCCAGCTGCGTGCTGGGAGAACCACTGCTCTCTTCAAAGCTGTCAGACGGGACATTTAAGTCTGCAGAGGTTACTGCTGTCTTTTTGTTTGTCTGTGCCCTGCCCCCAGAGGTGGAGCCTACAGAGGCAGGCAGGCCTCCTTGAGCTGTGGTGGGCTCCGCCCAGTTCGAGCTTCCCAGCTGCTTTGTTTACCAAATCAAGCCTGGGCAATGGCGGGCGCCCCTCCCCCAGCCTCGCTGCCGCCTTGCAGTTTGATCTCAGACTGCTGTGCTAGCAATCAGCGAGACTCCGTGGGCGTAGGACCCTCCAAGACAGGTGTGGGATATAATCTCGTGGTGCGCCGTTTTTTAAGCCCGTCGGAAAAGCGCAGTATTCGGGTGGGAGTGACCCGATTTTCCAGGTGCCGTCCGTCACCCCTTTCTTTGACTCGGAAAGGGAACTCCCTGACCCCTTGTGCTTCCCAAGTGAGGCAGTGCCTCGCCCTGCTTCGGCTCGTGCACGGTTCGCGCACCCACTGACCTGCGCCCACTGTCTGGCACTCCCTAGTGAGATGAACCCAGTACCTCAGATGGAAATGCAGAAATCACCATCTTCTGCGTCGCTCACGCTGGGAGCTGTAGACCGGAGCTGTTCCTATTCGGCCATCTTGAATTGTAGGCATTTTTAAAAACAGACTCTGGAGATGAATCTTTTCTAGTTATATACTTTGTAAGTATCTATACCATAGATAACCTTTTATTTTGACTGAAATATCTTTTGTTGTGCAGAAGTTATTAATTTTGATGTATTTAACCTTAAATGTTTTCCTTTATGGCCTGTACTTATGTTGTGTTTAAGAAATAAATATTTTCTATGCTGAGGTCATACATACATGCTCCTCAGTTATAAAATTTTACAGTTTTTGCTTTTCACATTTAGATTTTTAATTCATCCAGAACCTTTTTGTGTATGGTGTTAATTTTAATTGTGCAGGGAGTTAATTTTAATTTCTGTCTTCTACATAAATAATCAACTCTCCCAAACTTTCACTAAATAATCTATTCATTCTGTTATACTTGATGACACCATATTCATCTATAGTGTATTTCCCCATATGGCTAGGTCTGTTTTTAGGCTCTTTATTTGGTTCTAATTATTCATTGATCTGTTCCTATGCCAGGTGCATATTTCATAATTCGTCCAGCTTTTTGTCTTCTATTCTTGGCCCTTTCTTCTCTTGCATGCTTTTTAGGATCAAATTGTGAAATTGAGTGAGAAACCCTACCAAAATTTTATTTGGAATTGCATTGATTTTAACAATTTAATTTGGGAATAATTAATGTCTTTAAGATTTTCTGTCTTCTCACATATAACTATGGCAAATATCTTCATTTATCTAGATCTTTCTTTTAATAATGTTTTATAATTTTCATCATGAAACTTTCACTTTTTTTTAGATTTATTCCTAAATGCTTTGCATATTTTTGCAGTTTTGTAAGTGGGAATTTTTTCTATTCCATTTTTCTAATTATTACTTATTTATGAGTAAACTACTAATTTTGATATGTTGACCTAATGTTCAAAAATCTTGCTAAGTTATTTTATTAGTTCTCATATATTTTAAAATGACTTTCAAGTTTTCTATGTAATTCAACCATATCTTCTAAAAATAAGAACAGATTTGACTTCAATTTTAAATTTATTTATTTTCTTGATTTGTGTGATTAACTTAGGTATCCAAGGCAGAGTTAAATAGAAGGGGCAATAAAGAATCATGGTCTTGTTCCTGACAAGACAATACTTCTAAAGCGTTCCATTTTAAGTGTGATGTTTGCTACAGGTGTTTAATAGATACTGCTTATTAATCTGATGAAGTTTACTTTTACTCCTAGTTTAATAAGAGGTTTTTATATTTAAATCATGAATGAATGGAGAATTATATTGGGTGCTTTTTCTGTACATATCGAGATAATATGCTGTTCTATCGTTGCATCTAATAGTTTAGATCATAACTGGTTAATTTCCTGATGTTGAACTATCCTTGTAGTCTTAAGATAAACTATTTGTGGTCATAATCTATTACTGTCGTTAAAATAGTTTTGGATTTAATATTTATTCTCCTGTATACTTATATCTAGTTTTTCTAGCACTATTTATTGAATAGGGTGTTCTTCCCCCCATGTTCTTGGTGTCTTTGTCAAAAATTAGTTGGCTGTAATTATGTGGATTTATTTCTGGATTCTCTATATTACTCCATTGGTCTGTGTGTCTATCTTTATACTCATGACATGCTGTTTTGGTTACTATAGCTGTGTAGTATATTTGAAGTCAGATAGTATGATACCTCTAGCTTTATTCTGTTAGTTCAGGATTGCTTTTTCTACTTGAGCTCTTTTGCTTTTCCATAATTTTGGATTTTTTTCTATTTTTGTCACTAATTTTATTGGTATTTTGATAGGGATTGCATTGAATTTGTAGACTGCTTTGGGTAGTATGGCCATTTTAACAATATTAATTCCTCTGACCCAGGAGCATGGTGTAGCTCTTCATTTTTTTGTGTCTTCTTCAATTTCTTTAGACAGTGTTTTGTAGTCTTACTACAAAAAGGATGCTTTTTACCTCCTTGGTTAAAATTATTCCTAGGTATTTTAATTTTTTGTAGCTATTATAAATGGAATTGCTTTTGCACACAGTTTGTTACTGGTGTATAGAAACATCATTGATTTTTGTATGTTAATTTTGTATCCTGCAACTTTACTGAGTTTATCAGTTCTAGGAAGTTTTTGGTAGAGCCTTTAGGTTTTTCTATATCATATCATCTGCAACATAGGACAATTTGACTTCTTCTTTCTTGATTAAAATTCCTTTTATTTCTTTCTCTTGCCTGATTGCTCTAGTTAGGACTTGTAACACAATGTTGAATAAGAGTGGTGAAAATGGGCAACCTTGTCTTACTCTAGTTCTTAGAGAAAAGGCTTTCAGCTTTTCCCCATTCAGTATGATGTTAGCTGTGGGTTTATCATATATGGCTTTTATTATGTTGATGTCTGTTTCTTCTATGCCTAATTTGTTTAGAGTTTTTATCATAAAAAGATGTTGATTTTATCAAATGCTTTTTCTGCGTATATTGAAATGATCAATATAAAAAGTGGTTTTTGTCCTTCATTCTGTTGATGTGATGTATCATGTTCATTGATTTGTGTAGGTCAAACCATCCTTTCATTCCTAGATAAATTCCACTTGATCATGGTATATTATCTTTTTGATGCCATTATGGATTTAATTTGCTAGTATTCTGTTGAGGATTTTTGCATTTATGTTCATTAGGAATATTGGCCTGTAGTTTTCCTTTTTTTGTTGTGCCCTTGTCTAGTTTTGGTATCAAGGTAATGTTGGCCTCATAGAATGAGTGTAGAAGAATTTCCTCCTTTTCAATTTTCTGGAAGAGCTTGAGAAGAATTGGCATTAGTTCTTCTTTATAAGTTTGGTAGATTTCAGCAGTAATGCCATCCAGGCCAGGGTTTTTCTTTGTTGAGAGAGTTTTTATTACTGATTCAATCTTATTCCCCATTATTGGTCTGTTCAGGCTTTCTGTTTCTTCCTGGTTAAATCTTGGTAGGTTGTATGTGTCCACTATTTATCCATTTCCTGTAGGTTTTTCAGTTTGTTAGTGTAGAGTTATTTATAATAATCTATGATGATCTTTTGTGTATTTGTAGTATCAGTTGTAATGTCTTCTTTTTCATTTCTGATTTTGTTTATTTGGGTCTTCTATTTTTCTTGGTGCCTTAGCTAGCAGTTTATCCTTTTAAAAAAACAACTTCATTTTATTAATATTTTGTATCTTTTTTAGTCTCTATTTCATTTTTCCTTTTGTCTTAGTTTCGAAGGGGTACATGTGCAGGTTTGTTACATGGGTAAATTGCACATCACAGCGGTTTGATGTGCAGATTATTTTGTCACTCAGGTAATGAGCATAGTACCCAACAGGTAGTTTTTCAACCCTCACCCTCCTCCCACCTTCCACCCTCAAGTAGGCTCTGGTGTCTATTGTTCCCTTCTTTGTGTTCATGTGTATGCAATGTCTAGCTCCCATTTACAAGTGAGAACACGCTGTATTTGGTTTTCTGTTCTGGCATTATTTTGCTTAGTATAATGGCTTCTGGTTCTATGCACATTGCTGCAAAGGGCATGATTTTGTTCTTTTTTATGGCTGCATAGGATCCCATTGTATATATGTATCACATTTTATTTATTCAGTTCACTGTTGATGGGCATTTAGGTTGATTCCATGTTTTTGCTATTGTGAATAGTGCTGCAATGAATATATGTGTGCATGTGTCTTTTTCGTAGAATGATTTCTATTCCCTTGGGTACATACCCAGAAACTTATTCTTTTTCATCCTCCTATTTTTCCTGTTTCATTTTCATTTTTGTTGCTTATTTATTTTTCTTCCTTGGATTTTTTTTTTTAGTTATTTGAGAGTCTTAAGAAAACTTATTTGAAAGTCTTTGTCAGATTGCTGCATAACATTAATTTTATTTGGAGTGAATCTGTGTCCTGATTGTTGGTTTTTTTGCTATCTTTGTTAGCATTTGATTTCTTTATGTGTAGTGGATTTTGGTATAAAATATCATTGTGTGCGAGTGTTTTATTGATTTATTTAGTGTTTTATTTTTATTCCTGTTACCTCACACACAAACCTCTGTGTTCACTCTGTTTTTTGTAGTTTTGTGATTGTTTCTGCCTGGATTTCCTAAGCCTTACCATTTAGAATCAAGTTTTGTAATGGCATTTTGGAGCTCCTGCTCCTACCATAAGTCAGGATATCACAGATAGAACCACCCACTGTAGCAGATGCTATTGCTGTTGGTGCCCCACCCAGCTGCTCTGGGTGTTGATTGCTAATAGATCACACTTGTATTCTTTTCTAAAAGATTATCTTTGACTGATAGAAGTTTTTTATCTTTTGTTTTCTGAAGGATTCACAACTTCACTTTGGGAGTTGGCATATGGCCAATGACTGACTGAAGCAAGAGTGTAAGAGCTTCTCCCTCCTTCTTCTGGACAAGACAATCTTTGACACATTTTAAATTTCAGAGCTCCCTGCGGGATCATGCTTTTCCTAAAATGATATGCCTAGCTGCTGCTTCTACACTGTTCTGCTTTCCTCACTCCATTATGGGTTTCTCCTGAAAGAACGCTTTCAGTAAATTGATCACCTCATCTCAGACTTCGCTTCTGGGGAAGTCAACCCAAAACAAACCTAAGGTGGCTTAGTTTATCTTTAGGTCACAAGCTCATGTCTGTTCTAGACACACAGGTCAGCCTCCTTTCATGATGACAGGGACTGAGAGAGAAGTCTCTTTTCAAGCAATGATGCAGACAATACTGTCTTACATGAAACTTTTCTACTCTCCTTAGCTCACAGTGGTGGACTCTCAGCTGTTACATGGTGCTTCAGGACACAGAGCTCTGTGCATGTTTGGTTTCAACCACTCTCATAACTTTACACTTATGTTCTTGGTAACTCTTGTTTCTTGACCTCAATTATATCTTTTTAATTATTTATTTTTACATAAAACATTGTTCTAGGTTTGGATCAGATAGTTGCATCAAACCTAGGGAAGTCACTGAGATTTTTTTCTATTTGTACACATTTATGAATTTTCTCCTCAAAGAGATTATGTAGCATGATACACTTTTTGTGGCCTGATATTTTCCTGTAGTTTTATTGTAAGTGTATTTCTCTCTCCCTTTTTTTTTGGAGATGGAATCTTGCACTGTCTCCTGGGCTGGAGTGCAATGGCGCGATCTCGGCTCACTGCAACCTCTGCCTCCCATATTCAAGCAATTCTCCTGCCTCAGCCTCCAAAGCAGCTGTGATTACACGTGCCCACCACCACGCCGGGCTAATTTTTTGTATTTTTAGTAGAGATGGGATTTCACTGTGCTGGCCAGGCTGGTCTCGAACTCCTGACATCGTGACCCACCTGCCTCGGCCTCCCAAAGTACTGGGATTACAGGTGTGAGCCACCACGCCTGGCCTTGTAAGTGTATTTCTGTGTCAATAGATGTATTTTCTGCAGCATTATTTTCTTTTCCTGGGATAAATCACATGTAGTCATAATGTGCTGTCTTTTTTATTTACTATTGGATTTAATTTGCTAGAATTTTTTGGAAGATTTTTGAGTCTATATTCATGAGATGTATTTATATGCTGCATTTTCTTTTCTTTTCGTAATGTCTCTGTTTTAAGAATGAGGGTAATATTGACTTCATATAAAGAATCAGGAGGTATTTTCTACTCATCTTTTTCTGAAAGAGTGTTTATGATTGACATAATTTTTTTTCTTATATGTTAGAATTTACCAATGAAACCATCTGGGCTCAGCATTTTCTTTGTGGAAATACATTAAATTATAAATTCAATTTATTAAATGGATAGAGGACTGTGAGGATTTAAAAATTTCTTCTTGAGGCATTTTTAATAATTTGTGTTTTTTTCAAGGAACTTGTACTTTTTAATCTAAGTTTAAAAAACTTACTCAGGAATGGAAAACTAAACATCATATATTCTTACTTATAAGTGGGAGCTAAGCTATGAGAGTGCTTAAGAATGATATAATGGACTATGGGGACTTGGGGGAAAGGGTGGGAGGGTGGTGAGGGATAAAAGACTACACATTGGGTGCAATGTACACTGCTTAGGTGATGGGTGCACCAAAATCTCAGAAATCACACCTAAAGAACTTATCCATGTAACCAAACACCACCTATTCTCCCAAAACTATTGAAATAATAATAAAAATAAAAATATATTAAAAATAGTCTGGGCACAGTGGCTCACACCTGCAATCCCAGCACTTCGGGAGGCTGGGGCAGGCTCATCTCTTTGTCTCAGGAATTCAAGACCAGCCTGAGCAACACGGTAAAACCCTGTCTCTACAAAAAATATGAAAAGTTAGCCAGGTTTCGTGGTAAGTGTCTGTGATCCCAGCTATTCAGGAGGATGAAGTAGGAGGGTTGCTTGAGCCCGGGAGGTGGAAATTGCAGTGAGCTAAGATTAGGCCACTGTACTCCATCCTGGGTGACAAAGCGAGACCCTCATCTCAAAAAAAAACCCCAAGTATATATATATGTAATATATAAAAAATATATATAATATATAAATATATTTATATATAATTTTTAAAAATCTTAAAAGATTAAATAAATCTATTAGTATACATTGGTTATTATATTTACTTGTTATAATTTAATATCTATAGGACTTGCAGTAATGTCTCATTTTGTATTCTTTTTATATACATTTTTGTGGGTACATAGTAAGTGTATATATTTGCAGGTTACATAAGATACTTTGATACAGGCATGTAATGTGTAATAATCACACTGTGGTAAATGGGGTATTTATCCTAATAAGCATTTATCCTTTGTGTTACAAACAAACCAGTTATAGTCTTTCAGTTATTTTAAAATGTACAATTAAATTATTATTGACTATAGTCCCCCTGATGTGCTATCAAATACTAGGTCTTATTCATTCTTTCTAACCACTTTTTTTTTTTGTATCCATTGACCACCCCTACTTCTTTCCCCAGCCCCCACGACCCTTCCCAGACTTTAGTGACCATCGTTCTATTCTCTGCCTCCATGAGTTCAATTGTTTTTTATTTTTAGACCCAACAAATAAATGAGAACATATAAAGTTTGTCTTGCTGTGCTTGGCTTATTTCACTTAATGTAATGACTTCCAGTTCCACCCATGTTGCAATGACAAGATCACATTCTTTTAATGGCTGAATAATACTCCATTGTGTATATGCAGCACATTTCCTTTATCCATTCATCTGTCGATGGACACTTAGGTTGCTTCCAAATCTTGGCTACTATGAACAGTGTTGCAACAAACATGGTGGTGCAGATATCCCTTCCCTATACTGATTTCCTTTCTTCTAGATATATACTTAGCAGTGGGATTGCTGGATCATATGGCAGCTCTATTTTTAGATTTTTGAGGAACCCCCAAACTGTTCTCCATAGTGGTAGTACTAATTGACATTCGCACTAACAGTATATAAGTGTTCTCTTTCCTCCACATCCTCGCCAGCATTTGTTATTACCTGTCTTTTGAATATAAGCCATTTTAACTGAGATGAGATTATATCTCATTGTAGTTTTGATTTGCATTTCTCTGATGATCAGTGATATTGAGCACCTTTTCCTATGCCTGCTTGCCATTGTATGCCTTCTTTTGAGAAATGTCTATTTATATTTTTTGCCCATTTTAATTATATTATTATATTTTTCCCTATAAAGTTGTTTGAGCTCTTTATATATTCCAGGTATTAATCTCTTGTAAGATTGGCAGTTTGCAAATATTTTCTCCCATTCTGTGGATTGTCTTTTCACTTTGTTGATTGTTTTCATTGCTGTGCAGAAGCTTTTAAACTTTATGTGATTCCATTTGTTCATTTTTGCTTTAGTTGTCTGTGCTTGTGGGTTATTACTCAATAAATTTTTGCCCAGAACAATGTCCTGGAGAGTTTTTCCAATGTTTTCTTGTAATAGTTTCATACCTTTAAGTCTTTCATCCATTTTGATTTGATCTTTATAGATGGCAAGAGCTAGAGATTGAGTTTCATTCTTCTGCATATGGATATCCAGTTTTCCCAGCACCATTTATTGAAGAGATTGTCTTTTCCCCAATGTATGTTTTTGGCACCTTTGTTGAAAATGAGTTCGCTGTAGGTGTATACATTTATTTCTGGGTTATCTACTCTGTTCCATTGGTCTATGTGTCTGTTTTTATGACAGTACCATGCTGTTTTGGTTACCATAGCTCTGTGGTTATAATTTCAAGTCAGGTAATGTGATTCCTCCATTTTTGTTCTTTTTGCTTAGGATAACTTTGGCTATTCTGGGTATTTGGTGGTTCCATATAAATTTTAGTATTGTTTTTTCTATTTCTGTGAAGAATGTCATTGGTATTTTTGTAAAGATTGCATTGAATCTGTAGATTGCTTTTGGTACTATTGATGGCAGCAGTGGCCCATCTGGAGTGGCTGCTGCTAAGATACTGGCTGCAGCAGAGGAGGCCTGGGCAGGGCTGTTTGCTCTGTGGGGCCCGTGGGAGCCAGGAATGGGTGGGAGCCCCACCCCCGTCCGAGTTGGTGGGGTGGGAGCCCCGTGCTCCCAGGTGCAGCTGTAGCTGCCCAGCTATGTCTGCTGACCCAGGCATCCTTGTGGTCTTGGGGACACAGAAAATCCTCCTACCCCAACAGGTTCAGAAGTGCCTGCTCCCACTGCCTGGGCTTTTCCCAATCCTGGTACCCACTCTGATTTCAGAGTAGAGTTGTGGCTGAGCCTGGGTGCTGTCACTACCTGGTTGGGTGTGCCTGCACTCAGGCCGGTACTGACACACAAATCCCCTACTACTGAAGCCTAGGGTAGCTGAGGGTGACTTGGCACAAGATTGCAGGTTCCCCTTGGCATGAACAGCCTGGGCATCATGAATGGTGGCAGGAGGCAGACAGGCTCCTGGGTGGAAATGGGCAGGTCCTTGGTGAAACTCCACCTTTAAGCCAGGGATGGCCTGAAGCCTGGGGGCCAGGCTACTAGTTCTGTGGACCAGAGTGAGAACTTATTGTGCTTTTTCCAGGCCCACCCATGGCCACCCATGGACCAGTCAGCTTGTACTTCCTCCCCTCTGAAGCCCACAAAATCTCTGGATTCAGTCAGACTCGGGCAGATGACAGGATGACCTGCTTGTGGAGAGGAGCTACCCACTCTGGATCTCCTCTCTGCTGAGGGCTGCACACTCATTGGGATGACCTGCCTGCACATAGAAGGTACTCACTTTGGCTCTCCTGAAATCTGTACTGTCACTCAGTAAAGCATCACTTCACCTTGCTCACCCTCTAGTAGTCCACATCTCTTATTTTTCCTGGACATGGGACAAGAACTCAGGACCTGCTAAATGGCAGGGCTGAAAGAGCTGTAACACAAACAGTGCTGGAACACACCTTCCCCTCGCTTGCCACATTGCAGGCAACAAGAAGGAGAAAAGAGAGAAGGACAGAAGCACTGTGGCCCTTTGGGGAGCCCAGACATAGGAGCTCCCTGAGCCAGGGCTGTGAGACCCTCTTTGGGGTTCTGTGGTTCCTGGCATCTCCAAGCTTCTGGGTGCTGCCACATTTCCCAGTGACCACAGTGGAAGCCGCTTGCGGTATGTCTGGTCCAGTTGCAGCAGGGAGACAGTGCTTACGCTGGTGCCTGGAGCTGCCTGCCCCACTGCAGCCAGAGTGTCTGGCTGTGTGCAGTGGCCAGACCCTGTACTCGCTGCTCATGCAAGCCTCACCACACCATTCCTGGCTTACCCTTGGCAGGCATGGTATCCAGGCTGGTAGTGAAAGCCCAGCGCAGTCTGCCAGGTCGAATGGGTGGAATGAGCCCAGTGGGCCCAAGCAAAACTTGGGCAAAGGTGCCACTGGCCACAGAGGTTTCCAGCTGGCAAAGCAACATCCTAAGGATCCTGTGACAATATAGACATTTTAACAACATTCATTCTTCCAATCAAGGAACATAAAATATCGTTCAATTTTTTGGCATCCTCTCTAATTTCTTCCATTAGTGTTTTCTAGTTTTCAGTACAGAGATCTTTCATTTTTTTGGTTAAGTTAATTCCTAGTTATTTAATTTTATGTGTGGCTATTATAAATGGGATTATTTTTAATTTCTTTTTCAGATTGTACACTGTGGGCATATAAAAATGCTACTGAATTTTGTATGTTGATTTTGTATCCTGCAACTTTACTAAGTTTGTTTACAAGTTCTAATTTTTTTTGGTGGAGTCTTAAGGTTTTTCCAAATATAAGATCATATCATCTGCAAACAAGGGTAATTTGACTTATTCCTTCCCAATTTGAATGCCTTTTACTTCTTTCTTTCTCTTGTCTGACTCCTCTAGCTAGGATTTCCAGTACTACACTGAATAATAGTGGTGAAAGTGGGCATCCTTGTTTGCTCCAGATCTTACAGAAAAGACTTTTAGTTTTTTTCCCATTCACTATGATACTAGCTGATGGTCTGTCATATATGGCTTTTATTATATTGAAATATGATCCTTCTATACCCAGTTTTTTCAGTTTGTTTTAATCATGGCAGGATGTTGAATTTTATCAAATGCTTTTTCAGCATCAAATAAAATGATTATGTGGCTTTTGTCCTTCATCCTGTTGATATGATGTATCACACTGATTGATTTGCAAATGTTGAACCATCCTTGCATCCATAAAATCAATCCCACTTGGTAATTATGATCTTTGTAATATATTATTGAATTCAGTTTGCTAGTATTTTGTTAAGAATTTTTGCATTAATTTTTATCAGAGATGTTGGCCTGTAGTTTTCTTTTTTTGAACATGTCTTTGTCTGGTTTGGGTTTTAAGGTAATACTGGCCTCGTAGAATGAGTTTGGAAGTATGGAAGTATTCCCTCCTATTTTTCAAAACAATTTGAGTAGGATTAGCATTAGTTCTTCTTTACATGTTTGGTAGAATTCAGCAATGAAGCCATCAGGTCCCAGGTCTCTGCTGGCAGACATTTTATTAATGGCTTTGATCTTGTCAATTGTTGTTGGTCTGTTTAGGTTTTGGATTTCCTCATGGCTCAACATTGGTAGGTTTTATGTGTCTAGGAATATATCCATTTCCTCTAGGTTTTCCAATTTATTGCCTAAGAATTATAGTAGCCATAATAATCCTTTGAATTTCTGCATTATCAACAATATGTCTCCTTTTTTAATATCTGATTTTATTTAGGTCTTCTGTCTTATTTCCTTTGTTAGTCTGGCTAAAGGTTTATTAATTTTATTCATCATTTCAAAAAACAAACTTCATTTTATTGATCTTTTGTATTGTTTCTTTCATTTCAATTTCATTTATTTCTGCTCTGATGTTTATTATTTCTGCTCTGATGTTTATTATTTCTTTTCTTCTACTAATTTGGGGTTTGGTTTTATCTTGCTTTTCTAGTTCTTTAAGATGCATTGTTAGATTGTTTATTTGAAGTTTTTTTTATGTAGGCACTTATAGCTGTAAAATTCCTTCCTAGTACTGTTTTGCTGCATCCCATAGGTTTTGCTATGTTGTGTTTCCATTATCATTTGTTTTAAGAAAATTTTCAATTTTCTTCTTAATTTCATCATTGACCCATCAGTCATTCAGGAGCACAGTGTTTAATTTCTATGTGGGTGTATAGTTTCTAAAATTTCTCTTGTTATTGATTTCTATTTTTATTCCATTTTGGTCAGAGAAGATGCTGGGTATTATTTCAATTTTTTGAATGTTTTAAAACTTGCTTTGTGACCTACCACATGGTCTTTCTTTGAGAATGGTACATTTTCTGAGGAGATGAATGTGTATTTTGCAGCCAGTGGATAACATCATATGTAAAG
Source organism: Homo sapiens (assembly GCF_000001405.40). Taxonomy (NCBI): domain Eukaryota; kingdom Metazoa; phylum Chordata; class Mammalia; order Primates; family Hominidae; genus Homo; species Homo sapiens. The sequence goes on from NC_000011.10 coordinate 34,704,622, forward strand.
ATTAATTAGGTTCATTTTTTTCTATAGTGCAAATTAACTGTGATGTTTCTTTGTTGAATTACTGTCTGAGAGGTCTGTCCAGTGCTGAAGATGGGGTGCTGAAGTCTCCAGCTATTATTATATTGATGTCTATCTCTCTGTTTAGCTCTAATAATATTTGCTTTATATATCTGGGTGCTACTGCATTGGATGCATATATATTTAAAATTGTTTTATTCTCTTGCTGAATTGAGCCCTTTATCATGTTATAATGACCTTCTTTGTCTCTTCTTACAGTTTTTCCTTGAAATACATTTTGTCTGATATATAAGTATAGCTACTCCTGCTCTTTTCTTGGTTTCCATTGGCATGAACTATATTTCCATCCTTTATCTTTAGTCTATGTGTATCTTTATAGATGAAATATTTTTCTTGTAGCAACAGATCATTGGGTCTTGCTTTTTATTCGTCCAGCTACTTCATAGTTTTTTATTGATATTTTAGTCCATTTACATTCAATGTTATTATTGAGAAGTAAAGACTTATGCTTGCCATTTTGTTATTTGTTTTCTGGTTGCTTTGTGGTCTTTTCCTTCTTCTCTTCCATCCTGCTTTCCTTTCAGTGAAGGTGATTTTCATTGGTGGTATATTTTCATTTCTTGCTTCTTATTTTTTGAATATCCATTGCATGATTTTTACTTGAGGTTACTGTGAGGCTTGCAAATACTATGATATATTTTAAGCAGATGACAAATTAACACTGATTGCATAAACAAACAAACAAAAGGAAACTAATAAAAACTCTACCCTGTAACTTTGTCTCCCACTTCTTAACTTTTTGTTGTTTCTCTTTGTCTTATTGTACCATGTCTTGAAAAGTTGATATAGTTATTATTTCTGATGGGTTTGTTGTGTAGTCTTTCTACTTAGGGTTTAGTTTACACACCACAATTACATTGTCATAATATTCTGTGTTTTTCCGTGTGCTTACTCTTACTAGTGAGGTTTGTACTTTCAGATTATTTATTATTGTTCATTAATGTTCTTTTCTTTCAGATTGAAGAACTCCCTTTAGTATTTCTCTCTCAGCTTTTGTTTTTCTGGGAAAGTCTTTATTTCTCTTTCATGCTTGAAGGATATTTTTGCTGGATATACTATTCTAGGGTAAAACGTTTTTTGCTTCAGCGCTTTAAATATGCCATGCCACTCTCTCCTGGTCTGCAAGGTTTCCACTGAGAAGTCTGCTGCCAGATGTATTAGAGCTCCATTGTATAATTTTTTTTTTCTTGATGCTTTTAAGAACTTTTCTTTATCCTTGACCTTTGGGAGTTTGATTATTAAATGCCTTGAGGTAGTCTTCTTTGGGTTAAATCTGCTTGGTGTTCTATAACCTTCTTGTCCTTGAACCTTGTTACCTTTCTCTAGGTTTGGGAAGTTTTCTGACAGTATTACTTTGAATAAACGTTCTACACCTATATATTTTTGTACCTCCTCTTTAAGGCTAATAACTCTTAGATTTTCCCTTTTGAGTCAATTTTCTAGATCTTGTAGGTATACTTCATTCCTTTTTCTTTTGTTTCCTCTGACTGTGTATTTTCAAATAGCCTGTCTTCAAGCTCACTCATTCTTCTGTTTGATCAACTCTTCTATTAAGAGACTGTGGTGCATTCTTCAGAATGTCAATTGCATTTTTCAACTCTAGAATTTCTACTTGATTTCTTTTTCATTATTCAATTTCAATCTCTTTGTTAAATTTATTTGCTAGAATTTTGAATTTCTTATCCGTGTTATCTTGAATTTCTTTGAGTTTCCTCAAAACAGCTATTTTGAATACTCTTTCTGAAAGGTCACATAGCTCTCTTTCTCCAGAATTGCTCTTTGGTGCCTTATTTAGTTCATTTGGTAAGGTCTTATTTTCCTGTATAGTCTTGATGCTTGTGGATGTTTATCAGTTTCTGTGCATTGAAGAGTTAAGCATTCATTGTAGTCTTTACAGTCTGGGCTTATTTGTGCCCATCTTTCTTGGGAAGGCTTTCCAGCTATTCAGAGAGACTTGGTCCCCAAGCCCCAAATTGCTGTGGTTCTTGTAGACTTGTACAGGTACCGCCTTGGTGGTTTTGGATAAGAGCTGGAAGAATTCTCTGGATTATCAGGCAGAGACTCTTGTTCTCTTCCCTTACTTTCCCTCAAAGAAATGGAGTCTCTCTCTCTCTGTGCTAAGCCAACTGGGGCTGGGGTGAACCTTTGTGACCTTTGTGACCACCACCACTGGGGCTGTGCTGAGTCAGACCTAAAGCCAGCATAGCACTGAGTCGTGCCCAATGCCTGCTGTAATCACTACCTGGCTATGGCCTATGTTCACTGAAGGCCTTCTTTGGGCCCTACAGTCAGCAAGTGAGGAAGCCAGCCAGGCTTATGTCCTTCCCTTCTGGCCCAGAGCAGGTCCAGAAATTCTGTCTAAGAGTCTAGGCCTGGACTCAGGAACCCCAAGAGCCTGCTTCATGCTCTACCCCACTGTGGCTGAGCTGTTATCTAAAGTTCAAGACAAAGTCTCCTTTACTTGCACTCTGCTTTTCTCAAGCAGAAGATCTTTCACCCTAGCCACCACAGCTGGGAATATACTGGGTCACACCTGTAGCCAGCATGTCTCAGAGTCTCAACCAAGGCCCATGGTGTACTACTTGGGTATTCTTATTCGTTACTCAGGGCCCAAAGCCTGTTTAGTCAGCAGGTGATTAATTCTGTCAGGATTAGTTCTTCCCTTTAAGGCAGTGAGTTTCCTGCTGGCCCAGGTTGTGTCTAGAAATGTCTGTGAACTAGGGCCTGGAATAGGGGCCTGACAACTCTGCCTGGTGCACTATCCTATTGTGGATGAGCTAGTATCAAAGACACAAGACAAATACCACTTTACTCTTCACTCTCCTCTCCTCAAGCAGAAGGAAGGAGTTACTATCATTGCTACAAGCTGCACTGCTTGGGTTTCACAAGCTTGGGTTTCACAAGTGGTGGCACAAGCAACACCCTTAGCTGCCCCAGCTGGTGTCTTCCTAGGTCACGTGCTGCCTTAGTCTACTGGCTGTAAGTCCAGCCTTAGCACTAGGCCTCGCCTAGAAATTGCGGTACTTGTGTCCTAGACTGCATTTCAAGTTTACCTAGAACCCAAGAGCACTTTAGCCTGCAGTGGCAAGTTTTGCTGAAACTCAAGTTCCAACCACTGGGATGGGCAATTTCCCTCTGGCTGGGGCTGGTCCACATGCTCCTTCTGTGAGTGGGTGCCAGCTGAACCAAGCAAGGTTTTGCTCCCTGCTGTGACAGGGCAGCACTGAGTTCAATGCCAAGACCCCTAGTCACTGTGCTTGCCCTGCCTCAAGTGCACAGATTGTTTCTCTATGCCATGTGGCCACTGCCAGGGAGTGGAGGAGAAGTGGCATAGGCAATTCAAGACTGTCTTTCCTACCCTCTTCAATGTCTCTTTCAGCAATATGAAGTTAAAATCAGGTACTGTGATTGCTCACCTGATTTTTGTTTTTTGTGATAGTGCTTTTTTGTGTGTAGTTAGTTGTTAAAATTTAGTGTTCCTTTGGTGGGGGGATAATTGTTGCAGGCTTCTGTTTGGCCATCTTGCTTTGCCCGCTCATTTTCTTGATAATCTGTACCTTTTGTCTTTGTTCTTGATCAGTCTAGATATGTCAACTTCAATACTCTTTTCAAAGAACAGCTTTGTTTTAATCAATTTTCCCTATAGTTTGTCTATTTTTTCTCATTGAATTCTGTCTTATTTTTATTATTTTCTTCTTTCTTGTTATTTTGGGTTTAGTTTGCTTTTATTTCTCTAGCTTACTAAGGTAGAAGCTTAGATAAACTATCTCACATTTTTCTTCTTTTAAGGTATACATTTAATAATATAAATTTTCTTATTATTACTACTTTAGCTGCAGCTTTAAAGTCTTCATATTTTGTTTTCATTTTTATGCAGTTAAAATGTTTTCTAACTGCCTTTATGATTTTTTACTTGACCCATTAATTGCTTAGAAATGTATTGTTTAATTTACATATGCTGTTCAGTTTCCAAAGTTGGCATTATGCAGATGTCTTTGTTATCAATTTCTAATTTCATTCCATCTTGTTGAAAGAACAACTCCATATGATTTCAATGCTTGTGAATTCATTGAAACAGATTTCTATCTCAAAATATGGTTTGTCCTGGTGAATGTTTTATGAACAATGGAAAAGAATACATATTCTGCTGTTGTGTGTAGTTCTATAAATGTCAATTAGGACAGGTTTGGTTAATAGCCTTTTAAAAGTCATCTATATCTTTACTGATATATCTATTTTTGTTATCAATTATTGTGAGAGTAATGCTAGTGTTTCCAGCTATATTTGTTGATTTGTCAATTTCTTTTATTTTTAGTTTCAAATATAGGTTTTGCATCCTGTATTTGAAACTTTTATTAGATGTATTCACTAAAATTAAGATTTTTATTCTTGATAAATTGACCCTTTTATCACTATGAAATGTCTCTTCTTGTTTCTGGTAATATTCCTTATTTTAAAGTCTGCTTTGTTTGATTATAATATAGTCATTCTGGACATCTTTGACTAATGTTTCATGATGTATTTTTTTATCCTTTTATTTTAATTTACCTGCCTTTTTTTTTTTTGGACAGATTCTCACTCTTGTTGCCCAGGCTGGAGTATAATGGCACGATCTTGGCTCACTGCAACCTCTGACTCCTGGGTTCAAGTGATTCTCCTGACTGAGCCTCCCGAGTAGCTGGGATTACAAGCATACACCACCATGCCTGGCTAATTTTTGTATTTTTAGTAGAGATGTGGTTTCACCATGTTGGCCAGATTGGTCTCAAACTCCTGACCTCAGGTGATATGCCTGCCTTGGCCTCCCAAAGTGCTGGGATTACGGACGTGAGCCACCGTGACTAGCCCTGTGTTTTTTTATTTGACCTAGGTTACTTTTAGACCTAATATAATTTTGGGTGAAGTTGGAAGTAGCCAGGGCAGGGGTCCTGGGAATCTAGTGGCTACAAAGGGCAACCCAGAATGTGGTGTCATTGAGTGCATGGCCATCCTTCCACATGATCAAGGACATGCCCCTGGGGTTCTATTCCAAGACCCCAGAAGAATGGGCCACCGCTGCCAAGAAGTATAATATGTGTGTGGAAGACTATCAGCCTTACTTGGATGATGGCATGGAGTATGGTAACTACTCAAAGTTCTTTGACCATTCACAGTAGGAGAGGGATCTGTGGTTTGACTGGGACCACCAAGACTTGAGGTTGAACTGGGGTGAACTGATACACTGGCATCTGGACAAGTATATCAGGAACCATGTGGATATGGCCCTCCACCCCTGTTTCTTGGAATATCATGTTCAATAATCTCTTCAGCTTCCTGACCTTCATGAACTTTATGTTCTATGTAGTGGAGAATTATTCTACCTACCAGCCTGTGGGGCCAAAGCAGTATCCTTTTAATAATCTGTACTTGGGACAAGACAGTGATCCACCAAAGAACCTGAGCTAGTGTTTCACTATGAGATCTAAGGGCTTCATAAGCTTTTGTGCCCTCTACCTAGGACTCCTTAATTCCTAGAAATTTAACTTGAATGAAATCTTTAACAAAACTTAGTGCCATAGGAAAAAATATATACATGTATATGTACATACATAGTTTTTTCTTACTTTCTTATTCATTCTGAAAATCTCTGCCTTTTAAATGCAGTGTTTAGACCACCTACATTTAATGCAATTATTAATTTGATAGTTGTTAGGTCTATTATCTTATGATTTGTTTTACATTCATGCCATGTATTCATTGTTGCTCTTTTCTTTTTCTCATGTCCTATCTTCTTTTAATTAATTTTTTTATTTAAATTTGTCTTTAGTTTTATCTTACTATTTATTCCTGTTTTAACTTTTATTTATACTTTCAGTGCTTAATGTAAAATGTGCAATAATAATCTGCAAATTCTTTCCTACTGTTCTTTGTTATTGTCATAGAATTTATTTTTGTTTGTTGTAAAATCCACAACACATTGATATTACCTTGGCATTAAACAGACAGCTGTTTTTTAACAAAATAAAAAAATAGAGTATAAGTATTTTATTGCCTTACATGTTTAATATTTTCAGTTCTCTTTATTTCTTAATTTATATCCAAATTTATTTATTGTATTAGTGTTCTTCCTCTCAAAGAACTTCTATATCAATTCTTATAATGAAGATGTAATGGTGGTAAGTCTTACCAGCTGTGCTTTGACTGAAATATATTTACTTTATCTCCATATGTGACAGATGTTTTTGCTGGGCTTAGAATTTTAGGTTATCAAAAGTTTTTCAGAGTTTAAAAATGCTATTTTCTCTTCTCACTTGCCTAGATTCTAACAAAAAGGTTACTATCACTCTGATCTTTGTTTCTTTGCATATAGTATGTATACATATTTTAAAGATTTTTCAGATCATCTTTAGTGTTCAGCAATTTGAGTACCACATGTCTTTGTCTTGTATTGTTTGTGCTTGTCTTTCTGGGTTTCATTGAAGTATTTGGATCTGAGATTTATTGCATTTGTAAATATTTTGGCCATATTTCTTGAAAAAAAATTTACCGTTTCTTCTCTTTATAGGACTCCAATTACTTAAATATTAGACCACTTAATATTGTCCCACATGTTACCGAGACTTTATTTCTTTTCAATATTTACTCTCTGTAAGATTCACTGTGAAGAGTTTCTATTGTTCCATCTTCTAGCTCACTAATATTTTCTTATGAAGTGTCTAATCTGCTGTTAATCTTATCCAATGAATTTTCTATTTCAGATATTGTTTTTATTTCTAAAATTTTTATTTGATTTAAAAAATATTTTACATTCCTCTTTCACTATTTTATGTTTTCCTTTAAATATCCGAACATAGTTAAAATAGTGGTTTTAATGTTCTTTTCTGCTAATTATATCATTTTTGTCATTTATGGTCTGTTTCTGTTAACTGATTTTTCTCTTGGTTATGGATCACATTTTCCTGCTTGCAATGTCTAAGACATTTTTACTGGATAATATGATTTATGTGTTGTCCAATATCTGGATTTTGTTGTTTTTCTTTACTTTAATGAGTAAGGTTTTCTTCTGATAGGGAGTTAGGTTTCTTGTGATTCAGTGTTATCTTTTTCAGCTTTGTTTTTAAGCTTATTAAGGTGGATCTAGCATAGCCTTTATTTTAAGAATCATTTAATTTCAAATAAGTTGTAGCTTCATTAATAAGTTTTTGGGGATCTTTACTGAATGTAAAAAGTGATCAGTGAGAATTCTCTACTCTGTTTGAAGGTGGAACCCTTCCTCTGTATATGTAAGCTCTGGGAACCATTCTTCTCATAGATTCTTACTTACTCTTTGACCCAACTCAAGAAGTTTAACTCTATGCATGTGAATCCTAGTATTCAGGAATAGTCAAGAGAGTGTTGATATGGTTTGGCTTTGTGTCCCCACCCAAATCTCATGTCAAGCTGTGGTTGTCAGTGTTGAAGGAGGGGCCGAGTGGGAGGTGATTTAATTGTGGGGGTGAACTTACCCCTTGCTGTTCTTGTGATAGAGTTCTCATGAGATCTGGTTGTTTGAAAAGTGTGTGGGACTTCCCCCTTCTCTCTCTCTCTCTTTCCTGCCCACCATGTAAGACATGCTTGCTTCCCTTTCACCTTTTGCTATGATTGTAAGTTTCTTAAGGCTTCTCCAGCCATGCTTCCTGTACAACTTGTGGATCATGGGTCAATTAAACTTATTTTCTTCATAAATTACCCAAGCTCTGGTATGTCTTTATAGCAGTGTGATAATGGACTAATATAGAAAACTGATATTGAGTAGTGGGGCATTGCTATAAAGATACCTGAAAATATGGAAATGACTTTGGAACTGGGTAACAGACAGAGATTGGAACAGTTCGGAGGGCTGAGAAGAAGACAGGAAGATGAGGGAAAGTTTGGAACTTCCTAGAGATTTGTTGAATGGTTTTGACCAAAATGCTAATAGTGATATGGATATTGAAGTCCAGGCTGATGAGGTCTCAGATGGAAATGAGAAACTTCCTGGGAAATAAAGTAAAGGTCGTTCATGCTATGCTTTAGCAAAGAGATGGGCAGCATTGTGCCACTGCTCTAGGGATCTGTGGAACTTTGAACTTGAGAGAGACGATTTAGGGTATCTAGCAGAAAAAATTTCTAAGCAGCAAAGAGTTCAATAATGTGACCTGGCTGCTTCTAACAACATATGCTTATATGCATTCACAAAGAGATGCTCTTAAATTGGAACTTATATTTAAAAGTGAAGCAGAGCATAAAAGTTTGGAAAACGTGCAGCCTGACTATGCGGTAGAAAAGAAAATCCCATTTTCTGTGGAGAAATTCAAGCCAGCTACATAAATTTGCATAAGTAAAGAGGAGGAGCCAAATATTAATAGCCAGGACAATGGGGAAAATGCCTCTAGGGCATTTCAGAGACCTTCACAGCAGGCCCTCCCATCACAGACCTGGAGGTGTAGGAGGGAAAAATAGTTTCATGGGCTGTTCCTGGGGCCCTGCTGCTCTGTGCAACCTCAGAACATGGCTCCTTTTGTCTCAGCTGCTCCAGCTCCAGTCATGGCTAAAAGGAGCTAAGGTACAGCTCAGACCCTTGCTTCAGAGTGTGTAAACTCCAAGCTTTGGCAGCTTCCACATGGTGTTGGGCCTGTGGGTGCACAGAGGGCAACAGTGGAGACTTGAGACCTCTGCCTTAATTTCAGAGGATGTATGGAAACACCTAGATGTCCAGGCAGAATTCTGCTGCAGGGGCAGAGCCCAAATGGAGAACCTCTATTAGAACAGTGAGGAGGGCAAATGTGAGGTTGGAGCCCCCATACATAATCCCCACTGGGGCACTGCCTAGTGGAGCTGTGAGAAGAAGACTACCATCCTCCAGAACCCAGAATGGTAGATCCACTTGCAAACAGCTTGCACCGTGAGCCTGGAAAAGTTGCAGGCACTCAATGCCAGCCCTTGAGAGCAGCCATGGGAGCTGAGCCTTGCAGAACCACAGGGGCAGAGCTGTCCAAGGCCTTGGGAGTCCACCCCTTGCATCAGTGTGGCCTGGATGTGAGACATGGAGTCAAAGGAAATTATTTTGGAGCTTTAAGATTTAACAACTGCCCTGCTGGGCTTTGGACTTGCATCTGACCTTTAGCCCCTTGGTTTTGGCCAATTTCTTCCTTTTGGAAAGGGAGTATTTACCCAATGCCTGTACTCACATTTTATCTTGAAAGTAACTAACTTGTTTTTTATTTTATAGGCTTATAGGCAGAAGGGACTTGCCTTGTCTCAAATGAGACTTTGGACTTGGACTTTTGAGTTAATGGTATAATGAGTTAAGACTTTGGGGGACTGTTGGGAAGGCATGATTATGTTTTGAAATGTGAAAAGGACATGAGATTTGGGAAGAGCCAGGACAGGATGATATAATTTGGCTCTGTGTCCCCACGCAAGTCTCATGTCAATTTGTGGTTCCCAGTGATGGATGAGGGGCCTGGTGGGAGGTAATTGAATCATGGAAGCAGACTTATTCTTTGTTGTGCCTTATGATTGATTTGTCATGCGATTGGTTGTTTGAGAAGTGTGTGGCATTTCCCCACCTACCCCCACCTCCTGTCCACCACGTAAGATCCGTTTGCTTCTCCTTTACCTTCTGCTATGATTGTAAGTTTCCTAAGGCCTCCCCAGCCATGCTTTCTGTAGAGGCTGTAAAACCGTGAGTTGATTAAACCTCTTTTCTTCATAAATTACCCAGTCTCAGGTATGTCTTTATGGCAGTGTGAGAACAGACTAATACAGATATCTGTTCATATTTTTGTAGCTCTTTTTCTGTAAAGCTTTCTTCTCTTCAGAACTCTAGCACAAAACTTCCAACCACCTCAGCTTTATTGAACTCCAGTATCAAAAACTCATCAAGACCACTGCATACTTATCATGATCTCCTTCCCTGTGTTGTAGTCTAGAATGTTTTTCAAGAAAGACAGGACACTCATAGGAATCATCTTTTTTGTTTCTCTTCTCTCAGGTATTACATTTATGCACTGTCTGCTGCCAAAGATCTGAAACCAATGATCTCATATATATGGTACAGTTTTCTAGTTATTTACAGTGGGAGAGTAAATTATCCATGCTCAGAAGTGTAAGTCTTGTATGTCTTATTTTAAAAAGTTTCTTAGCTTATTCAGATGCATGATCAGGGTTGGGAACCACTCAAAAGTTTTCAATTTTATATTAATGGGGTCTAAGGTGGGTGGAGAGATTGGTGGATGAAATGAATGAACAGATGAGAAGTTAAATATACATAAGGGTTGACTATATGGATAAGTAGCAGAGCCGAATGTGCAAACACCTATTTACTACCATTCATTTTCTCTTGATCCTTTTGCAGAGTGTGTACTAGTCTCAGTAAGTCAATGGGTTTCCCTGGATCCAGGCTTGGAGAAAATGTTTTCTCTTCTCTATCTGCAATTCTCCTGAACCAATTCTGACGGATAATATGACTGTGTCAACCACAAAAGAGGAAAAGAATGGGCTTTAAATCCCGCCTTTACAGCCATCCAAGGCAGGTAATACTGGAGAATTAGGGAGATATGATGTTTTAAAGTACAGATTCTGTCTCCTTTTACAATACTAAACCCTAGATCACTGTTCTCTGATTGACTTTACCGGTTTTGTTGTTGTTGTTGTTGTTGTTGTGGAACTGCATCAGAATTTTCTATCTAGGTTAAAATGCCATTCTACCTTACAATAGCACCAAAGGACTAACTAAACCCTCTATGAAGTGATTCTCCAAAGGAAACTGATAGCCTGCCCACTCTATCCAGTCTGTAGATATTTATTTTTGCCTTCAGTATATTTTTAAAATTTAAACTAGTCACCAATTCTTAAAAATAGAGACATTTAACATCACATTTTAAAAATCTAATTTCCAGCTTCTCTTCAAAAATCGTTAAGCCTTGGCCACATTCCAACATGGCAACATTTCACAGGAGCCGTGTAGTGATGTCTTTTTCTAGACAAACTCTGTGATCTCCATTTTCCACAGTTTCCACCCAGCTAATTTCATTCATTTATGTTGTGTTTTAGTCTCTTTAGCATTTGCATTTGAGGTCTTGGCTCTAAAGATTAAGCGTGAAAATTCTTGATAAAGGTAGAAAAATTAAGCCATATCACAAGAACATCCTCCCTCAAATACCTCACAAAATAAAGAAAAGGAGTTTTGAAAGAAGCATAAAAATTTATCAGTTATACAAAGAAAGAGTATAATATCATGTCAAAAAATTAAAAGATAGCAACAAGAAAAGAAAGAGAAAATCCTACGACAACTCAGCATCATCTTCCTTAATCTCACCACTTCCCTGAATAATCAATGCTGGAGAAAGAATGCGAGCAGGTATATTTCTGAGAATTTTCACTATGATCCTCTAATTTAAATAGAAGCAAAATGAGGCAGCAACAAGGCAGCTCAAGGAAAGTTATGTGAAATACCAAGGAGAGAAAAGCTCCTGCCTGCCCGAGAAGAATCTCAAGATGTTAGCAAAGGCAAGTAAACACATAAGAAGTCACCGTTTTAAAGATCCCACATAACACTGAGAGAATGAATTCTACTATCCAGACCTCATATAATGATAATATATGTATTTAAAATAAATAAAAGTCATAAACAGTAAAAAAGAATAATTAAGACTGCATTTCAGATGAAGCATTTTTACATAGGAAATCCTAAGAAATCTATAAAATGACCATTGTAATTAATATGTAAACTTAGCAAAGTCACAAGATGAAAGGTTAATAGTATACAAAAATCAATTATATTTGATAAATCAGAAGGAAATAATTAGAAAACAAAAATTTAGATACAATTTTATGAACAACTTCATTAACAAACATAACATTTTTATAATTAGACTAGAATATGTGTAGGATTTCTACATTGAAAACTATAACACTGATGCGAGAAATAGAAGAAGAATTAAGTAAGTGGAGAAATATACTATGTTCATAGATTGAAAAAATTTAATTATTAAGATTTTATTTTCCCCAAGTAACCTATAGATTCAATGCAATTCCAGTCTCAATCTAAGCAGGCTTTCCTGTAGAAATTGACAAGGTGATTCTAAAATATATATGGAAATGCAAATGACTTAGAATGTCCAAAACAATCATAGAAAAAATCAACCTTGTAGGACCTATGCAAAGTTTGAAGCCTTATTGTAAAGCTACAGTAATTAAGACTATGGTATGTGGATAAGGATTTTACTAATTTTCTAGGAGTATGTAACGAAGTACCACAAAACAAACTGGGCGTTTTTTACAACAGAACTTTATTGTCTCACAGTTCTAGAGGCTGGAAGTTGAAATCAAGGTGTCAGCAAGGCCCCGCTCCTTCTGATGGCTCTAAAGGAGAAATTCTTTCCTACCTCTTCTTAGCTTCTGGTAGTTTTTGGCAGTCTTTGGTGTTCCTTGGCTTGTAGATGCATCACTCTGCTATCTGCCTCTTCATCACATGGCTGTTTTCTGTGTGTCTCTGTCTTCACATGCCATCTTTTTATAAAGATGCCAGTTATATTAAATGAGGGGCCACCCTACCCCAGTATGACTTCATCTTAACTTATAAAATCTGCAACAACCCTATTCTCAAATAAGGTCACATTCTGAGGTGTTAGAGTTTAGGTTAGGACTTCAACATATGTTTTGGGGGTAACACCATTCAACCTCATTATAGAATCAACAAATAGATCAATGGAACAAAATAAAGAGCCCAGAAACAGACTTCCAATTATGCAGTTATCTTATTTTTCAGCAAAGGTACCAAAGCAATCCAATTGCCCATGGGAAAGAACTTTATTTTAAATAGATGGTGCTGGAATTACTGAACTTCTATGCGAAGCGCCCCCAAAAATACTTATACAACAGTGTTCATAGCAGCTTAATAGCTAAATATTAGAGACAGCCCAGGTGTCTGTCAATAGGAAAATAGATAAAGAAACTGACCTATAATCACGTTATGAAATACTACATTCATATTACTCTATTATCAAAAGTAACAAACAACTGCTACATGCAACAACTTAGTTGAACTTCAAAAAGATGCTGTGTGAAAAGAGTACATACTGTATGATTTCATTTATATGAACTTCTACAGGGTTCATTTAGGTAAATTAGGTAAATTCAAGCTAAGGTGAAAAATATCAGAAACATGGCAAGGGGTTCAGTGGCTGGAGTGAATGGGAAGAGATCGGAGGAACTTTCTGGAGTGAATGCAGCACTTTCCATGTTGATAGGTATTTCAATTAAACATGTGTATGCATCTGCTAAAATGTAGTGAATGTACTTTTGAGATTTGGGCATTTTGTTATATGTCAACTTTTCTTTCAAGAGAAAATACTGTAAATAAATACAGAACTATAGTTAATGATATGCACGCTGAATTATTTTGATGAAAGTGAACAGTAGTTAATTTACTTTGACATGTGTCAAAAAAGAGAGACTGATGGATGACTATAAGTATGGATAGATGGATAAATATATGTTAAAACAAATATGGTAAGATGTAAGATGTTTAGGATAGAATCTAAGTGTTGAATGTATGGGGCATACACTGTAAAATTATTTCTACTTTCTGTACACTCAAACTTACCTGATGGTGTATGATGTCCTACACACCAGTTATTCATTCAATGAATATTTATTGAATGTTTACTATATGCCAAGCACCATTCAGGATAACAAGAATAAAACAGTGAATGAAACAGGCAAAGCCCTGCCCTTGTGGAGTTAACATTTTATTTGGGAGAGACAGATAGGAAACTGATTTTTTAAAAGGAAATATACAACATGTCCAATGGTGGTAAATGCTATGGAGGAAAAAATAAAGCAAGGAAAAAAGAATGAGAGTTACAGAGAAAGGTGGTGTGTATATCTGTGGAGGCTACTATTTCATGTGGACTATTAGGAAAGGCCTCAATTATAGAATGACATCTGAACAACTGTCTGTAGGAGTGAAGAAGCAAGCCACAAGGTTATCTGGGGAATGTTTAAGGCAAAGGAATTAGCAGGAGCACAGGCTCTGAGGCAAGAGCCCCCTTGATGGATTCAATTAAAAGAAGGCCAATGTGGCTGGAGCAGAACAGGAGAGAGACAGGGTAAGGAGGAATGAAGGCAGAGAGGTGATAGAGCCCATCAAACAGGGCCTGCAGGCCATTGTGAAGGCTCTGGCTTTCACTCTAAATGAGATACAAAGCTCTGTTTTATAAACCCTATTTATAATATAAGGTTTTAAGAAGTTGACTTTGGCAGCTCAGTTGATAAAGATGGGTGGTGGTGGGAGTGAGGAAATGCAGGGTCCAAGAGCAGAAGCAAGAAGGTCACCATTATAATAATCCAAGTGAGAGATGATGTTGGCTTGAACCACAAGAGCTAGTGGTTCATCACAGTGAAGGTGATGATAAATGATTAGACATGTCACCAGACTCTGGATATATTTTGAAGATATATGTAATTTGTAGTGATATATGAAAAAAAAAGAGGAGACTGGCATGATAAAGATTTTGGCCTGAGAAAATAAAAGGATGAAGTTGCCAGTACCTGAGCTGGGGAAGATGTGAGTGCAGGTTGGGAAAAAGAAAGGAGCTCAGGTTTGGACATGAATGAGATAGATGCCTATTAGACATTCAAATGCAGATGTTAAGTAGGCAGGTGGGTATACAAGACTGGGATCAGAGGCAAAGTCTGAGCTACCAATACAAATTTAGGAGTTGTTGGCAGAAAGATGACATGAAAGTTATAAAACTGGATGAGATCACTTCAGGAAGGCATGAGTGTAAATAAAGTAGTCTGAGGATAAAGCCCTGGCTGTTCAACCATTGAAAGCATGGGGCTGATAAGAAAGAACCAGGAAAGGAGCCTGGGAAAGACTGACCAGGCAAATGTGATGTTCTAGAAGAAATTGTTTTGCCTAGGACAGAGTGATCAATCATGTCAAACACTGCCGTGGGACAAGTAAGATGATAAGAATTGACCACTGGATTTAGTGATGTGGAGGTCATTGGTAACCTTGGTATGGGACAAAAGCCTCCAAGACAGAACTTAGACTTAAGAGACAGCTAGAATAGATTATATTGTAAAGAAGAGCATGTGCCAGTGACTAGACTAGATAGGAATGCAGGTCCAGGAGAGAGTTTTTTAAAAAAGAATATAAGACAATATATTTGTATATTTATGGCAATATCCAATAGAGTGGTCGAATTTCATAATGTAGAAGAGAGAGGGGAGAATTGTTGAGTGAAGTTCTTGAGTGGTGAGGGCAGAGATCTAAAGTATAAATGGAGCATTGGCCTTGTATAAAAATATGGAGAAGAGCAAGAGGGAAGGAAAGATATATAAGTTCAGATGCAGGTGGCCGGAGGTGATGGGAACATGCAGGAACTCTCTTCCAAATGCTTCTATTTTCCTTGTGAAATAGAAAGAAAGATCATCAGCTGAGAATGAGGGTGAGATAAAGATGCATAAGAGGCCTCTGCCCAGAGAAGCGCCCACCCTAGAAAAAAAGAAAAAGACATATATACAGCCAGTTACTCCCATGATGGGTAAGAAAATGGAAATTTGAAAAAAGTACTGTGGAAACACTGAGGTGGAAGTCATTAACAGTACTCTTATTTGGTCAAGTGAAAGTTATGTCATGTTTTCTTCATGTAGAGATAACATTCTCCAGGCAGTAATAATATTCTAGAAAAAAGAAACTACCAGAGCAAAGGCTCTTTTTTCCCTTCATGTCAATAAAAGTATTTTAAGCAACACTGTATTGAACATCCTGTTAGCAAAATCTTTACTCACATCCTTAACTATTTCCTTAGGATAAATTTCTAAAAATGGAATTTCTGGGTCAAAAACTCATTTTTTGGCTTTTGATGTATTCAGAAAGACCTCTGGATTTCATAATTAGAAATTTTATGGATGATTACATAAAATTTTCACAAGTAATTCAGTTTGACCAGTAAAAGGTAGAGGATATTCTGGATTATGGCAGATAAGACTACAGAGAGTAGTTTGAATAAGATTGTGAGGGAATTTTAAAATATGTTAGATTTTATCCTACGGAAAATAGAAGACCTCAACGTCCTTAAGTAGAGTGAATAGCACTGTTTGTGCTATTAGGGACATAACTTTAGGGACCATTTGGAAGATGAAGCAACTTCTAGCAGACTATCTGCTCAAGTATGATCCCTACTGGCTGCTGACTGCACCCCTCCTGAAGGCTCCACTCTGGCCTTTCTCTGGCTATGACTCTCCCTGTAAGGTGAAGGGTCCATGAAACCAAAGGAAAGGACTCACCAGGAGCTCATATCCTTCCTTCAAGGCCATGCTTCCAGACCCAATAGTTCCCTGCTCAAATAGCCTTGAACATGCTTCAAGGGCCTACAGAGACCTCTTCTCTGGGTCTATTCTCCTGAGGATGAATCTCCTGCATCTCTGGGAGAGGTAGCCAAGGGGCATCAGTTTTTCAGAGGTATGATGCAGCTTGGATGTGTGGGCTAGGATATTTACACATGTGTGCATGCGAGACATTCTTGGTGCAGGATGAAGCCAGGGGTAGGAAGAGAGGAGGGAGAATTCCTGGAGCATGGTAGGGGATGGTTCTTCCTGAGCCTCCATGTTGCAAGATGCTAGAGAATTCCAAATTGTAACCCGCCCTTCTCTGTTGTTTTCAGTGTGTATTTGTCAAGGTAGGGGGTAGAACAATTGTATTTAATAGTATGTGAGCTTAATTTATACATTTTAAATACAGGTATTTAGAGATATGGAATGTGGACCTTTATTTTAACTCTTACTCTGAGCTCACCTGAGTATCCCCCAACTCTAGATACCTTGTCTTGCAACCTGGCATGGTTTGGGGGCAGATATTCCTTGGAATTCATTCCTTATGGAAGGAGCAAGAAAAAGGTTAACCATACCACACTGACTCCCTGCCTGCAGATGTGGACAGTTGGCATTATTCAACATGGACAAATCAAGTTACATAGCTCAGGGCTTTTTATTTCATGCCTAGTCGGTGGGTTGACAGTGCAAAGGAAGCTCAAAAAGGTCCTGGGTCTTGGCTACCTGTCAGAAACCCCATGAATTTGTGGTTTTGCAATGCTGATTTTTCTAAAACTCTTGGTAAACAAGTTTGAAGTTTTTTCTGATGTCATTGTAGTTTCCAGTCTGGCACAATCTGGTTGTAACTTTGCCACAGAAGTAAATTGTGGTTAAACTGGGATTCCACATGGCAGGATCTTGCCAAGCTGAACACAACATATCACTTGCCCTCATGTAGCTCACAAACATAGACAATGAAGAGATATACGCTAAAATAAAAATGCAAAGGGCAGTAAAGTAAATTCCAGACCAAGGGAGCCTCCATGGACAAAACCTCTGGGAAAGAAACAAGTTCTTGACATTTTGACAGATAGAGGTGTTGGGGATAGGCGAGTGATAAGGAGAAATCACACAGAGGGAACAGTTGAGCCTAGGCATCACTGTGGCTCTGTTCAGGGGATAATGATTAGTTCAGTGCTGCTGTAGCAGAGTGAGTGGAAGGAGTGGGTGAGTTCCCTGTGCTAGCTCTGGCCTCAGGGGCCTTCCTATAAGCTATTCTATTTGCTGAGATGCTCTTCCCACCCATGCACCACAAAAGTTTGCCAAGTGTCTCACAGGGCTTCTATCTCTCCTTCATGATACTTATCACAATGTAATTAAATAATTAATAATGCAATAACTTGTTAACATTTGTCCCCCTTTGCTAATATGTACATTCCATGAAGAGCAAGATTATATTCACCTTGTTCATGGCGATATTCCAACTACTCAACATGGAAATTTGCACAACATAGGCATTCTAAAAAAAACTTTGGATAATAGGCTGGGCGCAGTGGCTTACGCCTGTAATCCCAGCACTTTGGGAGGCTGAGATGGGCGGATCACAAGGTCAGGAGATCGAGACCAGCCTGGCTAACACGGTGAAACCCCATCTCTACTAAAAATACAAAAAATTAGCTGGGCGTGGTGGCGGGCGCCTGTAGTCCCAGCTACTCAGGAGGCTGAGGCAGGAGAATGGCGTGAACCCGGGAGGCGGAGCTTGCAGTGAGCCGAGATTGTGCCACTGCACTCCAGTCTGGGAGACAGAGCGAGACTCCGCCTCAAAAAAAAAAAAAACAAAACAAACAACTTTGGATAATAAATAAATGTATGAATGAATGAGTTAATAAATAACATATATGTTAATTAACAATGCATTAATTGATTGATAAGGCTGAAAGAGTGGGTTGCAGTTAGAATGTGGAGGTACCTGAATGAAATTCAAATGAATTTGGACCTCATTTGCAAACAATGATGTTTTATTCATTTCCTTTACAAACTCCAATAAATATCCACTTATGTGTTTATTTTCTGCCAGGCACTTTGTTAAACACTGAATGTAAAATGATAATTAAAACACTCTGACTGGATCTTGCAGAACAGTAGGAGGTAACAGATAAAGAAATAACTGTAATAAAAAATGTGAGAGATCTTTATTAAAGCCACATTCCCAGTATGTGAGAACACAGACAATGGACTAATGTATTCTGCTTCAGGAGGGAGTAGGGCAGTGAATGTCCCCTAGAAGAGACAACATCTCACCAAGGAATTTAAAGATAAGTGGGGGTTTTACAAGAAGGAAAAGAGGGGAAAGGACATTATGGGGATTTATATTTTCAGCAATATAAAAGACTAGATAGTGTAAAAAAATCCTCTGGAAAAAAAAAGCAAGAAGAAAAAAGAAAAAACATAAGTGCCAGATAAAATATAAGATAAAACTCTTCTAAGCAACTATTAGCTGCTATTACAAGAGAAGAGATTCTCTTAGATGCTGTATTAGTCTGTTTTCACACTGCTGATAAAGACCTACCTTAGACCGGAAAGAAAAAGAGGCTTAATTGGACTTACAGTTCCACCTGGCTGGTGAGGCCTCAGAATCATGGCAGGAGGGAAAACGCACTTCTTACAGGGTGGTGGCAAGAGAAAAATGAGGAAGAAGCAAAATTGGAAATCCCTGATAAACCCATCAGATCTCATAAGACTTAATTCACTGTCAGGAGAATAGCATGGGAAAGACCAGCCCCCATGATTCAATTACCTCCCCCTGGGTCCCTCCCACAACACGTGGGAATTCTGGGAGATATAATTCAAGTTGAGATTTGGGTAGGGACACAGTAAAACCATATCAGATGCTAAATGCAAAGTTGAAATATAAAACCGTGGAGAGAAGTTAGCACTAAGTCTGTCAACTTCTCCAATAATCTATAACCTATATTTGTTTACTTGTTTGTTTTTGACACCTGCATTTGTAACAAATGAAGACAAGGGATAAGGGATGAAGAATGCTCAAAGTGGAAGTAGGGAGAGAGATTCTTACATAAAATTAGGATCCCGAGAGGGCTGCTCCTTCAGTGAAATATCATCTATGAGAAAAAGATACACCCAATAAGAGGGGCAAGGAAGGAGGCATTTCTAGCTTTGGCTCTGGATAGAGGGAAAAGTTGTTTTCCTCAGGGGTTCATATCTACAAGTAAGTCTTCCTATGGGCTTGGATTCTAATTCATATTCTCTGTTTGTTACAAAACACCTCAAACCAAATATTAGTTGTTCCTGAGTTAGTTCTTTCAACTACTGGCAGGAGCAAACACTAACCCTCTCTAGTGGATTGCCATTGAAAACCAACCACAAGAATATCCATAGGTAATGTTTTAATGATCATATAAGTAAAATCAAAATATATATGAGAAAACAAACCACTATAAGTGAAAAATAGGCCTACAAAGGCTGAAAATACTTGACTCATAGATACAGAATAGAAATTGTACATTGAAAATATGATGAAAAATGTGACTAGGCAGATTTGGATAATAATTAAATAGAACTTCCAGAAATAAAAAATGCAGTAATGAAAATCAATATTCTTATAAAAATTAATATCTCCTAGCTGAAGAGTTAATTATTTAATTTGAAGATAGATCTGAATAAATTACCCAAAATGCAGCATACAGAGATCAAGACGTAGAAAATATAAAAGAAATATTAATGAACATGGAAGGCTGAAAGGGGAAAATGGTGTTTGTGATACACTGAGAGAAGCTAATATATGTCTAATTGGTGTTGCAAAAAAAATTAAAAAGATTAGGAGAAAGCAATATTGAGAAGACATACACTAAGAATCTCCCACATTTTAAGAAATACATCAATTAGATTCAGAAAGTTCAACAAATTGCAAAGAGTAAATATAAAGAAAATCAATAGCTAAAATCATTGCAGTAAAATGCACAGTGCCTAGGAAGAAGGGAAAGTCTTAAAAACAACCAGGAAGATAATTGATAGAGACAGGTAATCTATAAGCAATTAGACTAGGATTAAACTTCTGAAAAGAAATAATGAAAGACAGAGCACAGGAATATCTTTGCACACTGACAGGAAGTAAATATCAACCTCCACTTACATACCCAGCAAAACTAAGTTCAGGAACTTGCTTGAGAGGTTCTACTTCTGGAGATGCAGTGTGAGGGGATTTGAAGAACTTCTCTCCAGTGAAACTACCATAACTGGAGAAAATTATTTTAAAAACCATCCATTTAAACTCTCAGAAATTGTCTGGAGGTTATACAGCGAATAAAGCAACATTTATTTAAGAAAATTTACTAAATATCAGTAAAAACAGTGAAAGTCTTAGCACCAGAGCCGTGACTTGCTTCTTTCCTGTCCCCAACTCATCGTGATGTCAGTACCATTCTGGGTGATTTGGCAAAGAAGACAAGGCTTCCTCTTTCCCAAGTCCTCAGTCAAGGGTGACATGTGGTAGGCAGAATAATCCCCCCACTGCCAACGTCCACATTCTGTTCCCCAGAACCTGTGACTATGTTACCTTACATGGCAAAAGGAACTTTGCAGAAGTGATTAAGTTAAGGATATCGAGAGAAGAGGAGAGTATCTTGGATTACCCAGGTGAATCCAATGTAAACAAAACCTTTTAAAGTTGATTGACTCAACATATTATAATAAAATCTGTTCACCAAAGGGCATTATAGAGTGAAGGACAAGCCACAAAGCAGGATAAAATATATGCTATATGTATAACCTACAAAGAATTAGTATCCAGATTATCTAATATATGAAGAACTTCTACAAATCAAGAAAAAAATTAAAAACCTAATAGAAAAGCAGCCAGAGCTATGAATAGGCATTTCATTAAGAAGGTAACACAAATAGCTAATAACCTATAGAAAGAGACTTAACCTTATCAGTTGTTAGGAGAATGCATATTGAAACCACAATGAGACACCATTTCACACTACTAAGTTGGAAAAAATGTAAAATGTTCACAATGCAAGTGTTGGCTAGGAAGTAGAGTAATACAAACTATCCTGTGCACAGGTAATAGTGTAAATCAGTACCGCTTTACCTAGTAAAGTTGAAAATGCTCCTCACTATAGGAAACACAAATTCTACTTCTAGGTATATAATATAGAGACACTCTTGCTCATAGGCCCCAAGAAAACATGAATAAAATTATTTATGAGTAAAGGTGGCTTATAACAGTTTAACATTCATGTAAAGGAGAATTTGTAAATAACTATTAAAAAAAAGAAAAAGACAACACTTGGTAGCTTTTGTGTATTGATGACAATGCCTCTTAACATGAGCTTTAAAGATAGGCAGAACTGGGTTTGAATTCTGGCTCAATTGTTTACCAACTATATGACCTTGGGCAAGCTGTTTATATTCTCTAAGCCTTGGTCTTTGCCTCTGTAGACTGAATATATGAGACCTATTTTACAGATTGCTGTGAGAATGAGGTATAGCATATGCAAAACACCTGGCACATAGTAATGCTTTATGAATGCTAGCTATTATTACTGCTCTGTTGAACATACTGGAGTGACCCACTAAGAAAAGAAGGAAGAAGAAAGGTGCCAGCTACCTACTGAGCATCTCAAACATTTCAGTTACTCTCCAAAAGAAGGAAAGATAAAGCCTTGGGGGCTGGGTAAATTCAAATCAGAAAAGACTCTTCCCTTCAAGTAAAATGTGAAGTGTGGGTACGAGAGTGTGGTGGAAAGGGCACAGGATTTAGAGACTCAGGATCTGCATTTGAGTCCTGCCTCCACTACATATTAGATCTAAGGGCCATGTACCATTGGGCAAGTCATTTAAATTCTCCAGATCTCAATTTAGTCTATGTGAAAAGGAAAGAATAGGCACCAGGCTGCTATGAGAATTAGGAGAGAAAATAAGCACAAAAATTCCATTCTAGAAAGAACTGTATGAAAGCCTTAAAATCAATAGCAACAATATGTTTCTTTCTATTTTCACCCTTCTCTTTACAGGATTCCTCCTTCTGCACCTTTTTGGCACTGTTTCCTTGAGCTCTCCATCCTATCCATCGAAAGTTACCCATCCCAAATCCTATATCCTCAGCAACTTTCTGGACAACTGGCTGATCTGAAGAACCAGTTCATACTCGTCTATCTTGTTATTGTGTTGACTAGTATGTAGGCACTTTAAAGATGAACCTCCAAGTGGGAAAATTCTTTAATGAAAATGCTGACAAATGCTCAAATTCATAGATGTTGTGGCAGACTGTTGGGTAAGACCCATAGGGTCAAACAAGGCTTCCTTAAATGACACAGCAGAGGCATCTGGAACAATAGAGATAATATTCAAATAGCATTTTATGCTGCACAAAGAACTTCCATATCTGTTGTCTCAGTCCATGTTTACATCAATCCTGGGAGGGAAAACCTGAGATAGGGTTTGTGACGCCCAGTTTTGTAGATGAAGAAACTGAGGTTTAGGAGGTTAAGAAACTATCACCCACAAGGTCACACATCTATCTATGGCTGAGTTTAGCCATGCCTTGCTGGTGTTTTCCCTCCCTATCTAGTCTCTAGAACATTTGGGCACACCTATCATGTGGACCACCCAAGAAAATGTGTGGAGTCATCACAGACCAGTTCTTCTCTTTAGTGTTTGGTGTTCCCATTTCTTAGGTGGTCAAATTGGCAGGTAGTGCCAGCTAGCAGCCTAGAAAAAACAATTACAAACTGCTGCTCCTTGTACAACCCAATACATGCCACTAGCGCCCTATAGGTTGGTTACTCTGGGTGCAGAAAAATCCAGCTTCCCAACACAGGCTGAAAGCAAGTGGGGAGGGGTAGACCTGTGTGCCTTCTACCTTCCCTATCCTTTTTCACCATTCTCCATGCTTTCCCCATCTAGAGCAACAGATAGTTATCCTTTTCCATCAGCAACTATATTTTTTATTTTTGCAGCTTTTATTTTAGCTATAAAGGATATATGTGCAGATGTGCTAAATGGAAATATTGCATGATGCTGAAGTTTAGAGTGCAGATCCTGTCATCCAGGTAGTGAGCACAGCACTTGATAGTTTTTTTTCACTCTCCCTCCACCCTCTCATGGTCCACAGTGCCTATTATTTCCATATTTAAGTCCATGTGTGATCAATGTATAGCTCCCACATATAAGTGAGAATATGTGGCATTTGTTTTTCTGTTTCTGCATTAATTTGCTTGAGATTATGGCCTCAAGCTCCATCCATGTTGTTGCAAAGAGCATGATTTCATTTTTTATAACTGCATAGTGTATTTTTATAACTCCATTTTTTATGACTCAATGGTGTACATGTACCACATTTTCTTTATCCAGTCAAACATTGATGGGCACTTGGGTTGATTCCATGTCTTTGGTATTGTGAATAGTGCAGAGATGAACTTATGAGTGCATGTGTCTTTTGGGAGAATGATTTATTTTCTTTTGGGTACATATCCAATAATGGGATTGCTAGGTTGACTTGTAGCTTGGTTTTAAGTTATTTGAGAAATCTCTAGACTGCTTTTTTCAGTGGCTGGACTGATTTACATTCCCAACAAAAGTGTGTAAGTGTTCTCTTTTCTTTGCAGCCTCACCAGCAACTGTTATTTTTTGACTTTTCAATAATCACCATTCTGACTGGTGTGAGATGCTATCTCATTGTGGTTTTGAGTTGCATTTCTCTGATAATAAGTGATAATGAGGATTTTTTCATTTTTTTGCCAGTTGTGTGTCTTCTTTTGAGAAGTGTCTGTTCATGTCCTTTGCCCATTTTTTAATGGGGTTATTTGGTTTTTGCTTGCTGATTTGCTTAAGTTCCTTACAGATCATGGATATTAGGTCTTTATCAGATGCAGTTTGTGAATACCTTCTCCCATTCTGTAGGGATTGTCTGTTTGCTCTGTCAGTAGTTTCTTTTGCTCTGCAGAAGCTCTTCAGTTTAATTAGGCCCCACTGTCTGTGTTTGTTTTTGTTGCAATTGCTTTTGGGGACTTAGTCAAAAATTATTTGCCAAGGTTGATGTTGAGAAGAGTATTTACTAGGTTGTCTTCCAGGATTTTTATAGCTTGAGGTCTTACATTAAATTTTTTTCATTTATTTTGAATTAGTTTTTGTATATGGTGAAAGGTGGGAGTCCAACTTCATTCTTCTGTATATGGCTAGCCAGTTATCCTAGCACCATTTGTTGAATTGTGTATCCTTTTCCATTGCTTGTTTTTGTTGACCTTGTCAAAGATCAGATAGTTGTAGATGTGCAGCTTTATTTCTGAGTTTTCTATTCTGTTCCATTATGTGTTTTTGTACCAATACAAAGCTGTTTTGGTTACTGTGGCTTTATAGCATAACTTGAAGTCAGGTAATGTGAGACTTTGTTCCTTTTGCTTAGGATTGCTTTGGCTATTTGAGCTGTTTTTGGTCCCATATTAATTTTAGAACAGTTTTTCTAATCCTATGAAGAATGACATTGGTAGTTTGATAGGAATAGCATTGAATCTTTAAATTACTTCGTGCAGTATGGACATTTCAAATGACATTGATTCTTTCAATCCATGAGCATGGAATGTTTTCTGTTCATTTGTGTCATTTCTGAATTCTTTCAGCAGTGTTTGGTGGTTCTCTTTGTACAGGTCTTTCACCTCTTTGGTTAGCTGTATTCCTAGATAATTTCATTTTCTTTGTGGCTATTTTGAGTAGGATTGTGTTTTTTATTCCACGTGCACCCTGGATGCTGTTGGTGTATAGAAATGCTACTGATTTTTGTGCATTGATTTTGTATCTTGAAACTGTATTAAAGTGGTTTTTCAATTCTAGGAGTCTTTTGGCAGAGTCTTTAGGATTTTCTAGGCATAGAATCATAATTGTCAGTAAAGAGAAATTGTTTGGCTTCTTGGTTTCCTATTTGGATGCCTTTTATTTCTTTTTCTTGCATGACTGCTCTGTCTAGGACTTCTAGTACTATGTTGAATAGGAGTGGTGAGAGTGGGTATCCTTGTCTTGTTCCAGTTCTTAAGGGGAATGATTCAAGCTTTTGCCCATTCAGTATGATGTTGGCTGTGAGTTTATCATAGATGGACCCTAGCTATCAAAGAAAAAGAAAGAGAGAAGATCCAAATAAGCACAATCAGAAACAACAAAGGTGATATTACAATTGATCCCACAGAAATACAAAAGATCCTCAGAGACTATTATGAACAACCCTACACACACAAATTAGAGTATCCAGAAGAAATGGAAACATTCTGGAAGCACACAGTCTTCTAAGATTGAATCAGAGATTGAAACCTTGAAAAGACCAAAGACAAGTTCTGAAATTGAATCAGTAATAAAGAACCTACCAACCAAAGCAAAGCCCTAGACCAGATGGATTCACAGCCAAATTCTACCAGACATTCAAAGAAGAACTGATACTAATCCTACTGAAACTATTCCAAAAATCAAGAAAGAGGGGCTCCTCCGTATCTTTTTCCATGAAGCCAGCATCAGCTTGATACTAAAAGCTGGCAGAGACACAACAAAAACAGAAAACTTCAGACCAATATCCCTGATGAACATTGATGCAAAAATCCTCAACAAAATACTAGCAAATTGAATCCACAGCACATCAAACAACTAATATACCACAATCAAGTAGGCTTTATTCCTGGGATGCAAGCCTGATTCAACATACACAAGTCAATAAATGTGATTCACCACATAAACAGAATCAAAAGCAAAAACCATTTGTCATCTCAAAAGAGGCGGAAACAGCTTTTGATAACATCCAACATCCCTTCATGATAAAAAAAAAAACCCCAACAGACTAAGCATTGAAGGAACATACCTCAAAATAATAAGAGCCATCTATGACAAACTCACAGCAACTTTAGAAATGATAATTAGCCAGTCCTCCTAATGACTTAATAATCATGCCTTGCGTGTCAATGGACCTGGTGTTTTCAGGCTCCCTTTCAGTCATTAATTAATCCTCCACCAGCTGCCTGTAGATGTAGGTCACCTTGATTACCTTCAGGGTGTGGCTGAGTCACTGAGACAGGCCTGGGATCTGCCTAAGTTCATCCAGCAGTAGCTGCAGCCCAGTCAGGCCACTGGCCAGTGGTAACCAAGATGTAAAGTCAGACATGTCCTCTGCCCCTTCCTTCCCAGAGCCCAGTGCTCTCATACTGCCTTCCTTGGCATTCCACGTTCCTTTGATTAAGCCTCTCACCCAAACTTATGTGTCCTGGATCCCTAAGGACCATGTTAAATAACAGGAGGTAATCTAATACAATAGTTTATATTAATGCATTACTGATTAACATGACTGCATTCATTTCCCCAGAGGTATGTGCGTTTTAACAGAGGGTCTTCTGCAGCTCCAAAACTTTAATCCATGGGGATGAATTTCTAATGGTAGAATTCCAGGCATTTGTCACTATCACTAGACAAGCTATTTTAGCAATGGGGCCTTTCAGGGAGAAGTTCCTCACACCACCCTGGCCATGTAGCTTGAGTGTCTTGCTGACTCTGTCCCTAAACCCCTTGTCTTGCCCTGGCTTAGTCATTAGTTCCCTCTCTAGGGACTGGAGAGGAGCTGGCCACTAGGATGCAGGTGCAACACACTAATAAAGAGCTGGAAGTTAGTTCTCTCTTAATTAATTCCACCTGAATCCACATTCCCTTAGACAACTAAACTGTGTGCCAAACAACATTTGCCCTGGTGTGATCTGGGCCAGCCCAGCATAGGGTGCCGGATTTTGGGATGCTCAAACTTATGACTCATGAAAGCTGAATGCATGTATGTGTATATGTGTGTGTGTGTGTGTGTGTGTGTGGTGTGGTATGTGTGTGTACATATGCGCATGTGCCTGTGTGTGCCTGCGTGTGAGGCAAAGCAGCAAAGGTGACCACCTGAGGGATGAATCCTGCCTAATCCACTCTAGCTTGATGGCTTGAGGAACCGAATGAATAAAGACCAATAAAGTGCAGATGGAAGACAACGACAGCTGAGCTTTAAGTTCTCAATTATGTGTTCTCATGAGAGGTTAAGGAGGCACAGGGATGCAATGGCTAATCCCAAAACCTTTACAAGGTTTAGCAGTAACCTGGATTACTTCTTATTTGTGCTTGAACTATGATTATTAAAAAGGAATTGATTGGGATTGGAAATCAAGAGGGCCAGGCAGGACTGGGGGAGCCTAGGATCTTGGAAAGCCATCTTGAATAGTGGTTTTCTTGCAGCTCCTTCTTCAAAGGATGGAACTTTAAGGATGGAACCAATTGGCTACAAATCATTTTAGCTGATGCACTGAGACAATTCTGAAGCAAACTGTCTTATCCTGGATTTTGTCAGTAACTGGAGTTGAAGGACTTGAAGATTCTCAAGGTAACATCTATGAAAAATGGGCTTTCTCTTTTTGTTCATCTTTCCACATCCTGAATTCACCCCTTAAAAGTTATGTAGATCAACATGGCAATTCTCTGAGCCTCAGTCTGTTGTAATTTGGCAGAGTTTTTGTGATAATTAAGCAAGATAAAAATAATTATGATTCTTGTTTATGATAATGATAATTGTTAACATGTATTGAATATTTACTATCTGCTAGCTTACATTTCTATTACTGGTTTACAAATACCATGTGAGATACAGAGCAAGAAACTGGGGTTCAGGGAGGTGACATAACAGGTGTTTAATAAATATTCATTTTCTCAAGATAGTATGTGCAAAGTAATTCTATTTGGGTTAGATTGAAATGTATTTGTATGGAGATAAAATGAAATAGACATTATAAAATATTAATTGCACTTTTATTTGGGAGGTGGGTCTGTATACAAACCTTACTTTTTTCCTATTTAGTAGTCTGTACTTTCTAAAGTAACTACTTGTTATTTTGGTAGTATGAAAGAAACTACAGTGGAGGTGGAGTGGGTGGGTGGTGAGAATAAAGGTATTGCTCTTGCCTGCCACCTGCCTTGTATGAAGCAGTTAAAGCTCCACGACCTGTTCTGTTGACTTAGCAGGGATTATGCTAGGTCTGTAGCTCTTCAAAGAAAATGGATACTTGCTGGTTAAATCTGACACATGTGTTTTTCCTTTTTCATATGCTTTTCAGCTTATAATTACAAATTGTATAAAAATCAATAATTCTGCAAGGATATTTGCTTTTGCTTTATTTACACACACATACACACACACACACACATTTGTGCCCTTCCTGCAATTCTCTGAAGATGCGTTCTGAACACTTGACCCCAATTCAATTATGTGCAACATACATTTCTGTATTTAGGGCCCAAAACTTGTAGATTGAAAAGTGAAGACTGCCTTGCATCATTTAAAAAAAAAAATGTGAGGCTGGGTGCAGTGGCTCACGCTTGTAATCCCAGCACTTTGGGAAGCCGAGGCGGGTGGATCACGATATTAGGAGAGCGAGACCATCCTGGCTAACATGGTGAAACCCCGTCTCTGTGAAAAATACACAAAATTAGCCAAGCATGGTGGCAGGCACCTGTAGTCCCAGCTACTCGTGAGGCTGAGGCAGGAGAATGGCGTGAACCTGGGAGGCGGAGCTTGCAGTGAGCTAAGATCACGCCACTGCACTCCAGCCTGGGTGACAGAGCAAGACTCTGTCTCAAAAAAAAAAAAAAAAAAGAAAAATTGGCAAAAACATCTGGGGAAAGAAGAGGTGCCCAAACCCTCTTTCAGGACTTGGGAATGTGATTTTATTTGAGGACTGGTCTTGGTACTGTCCCTTTGTCATTCATGGTTAAGCACCATTCCAGGCCAAGTTGCCAGTGGATGGAGGGAGCAAGGCTCTCCCTGCATGGTACCATAAAGGTCTGTGGATGTGGGAAACTCACAAAATCCGTGAAGTTGGCATGGGAGGTAAGAAGAGGAGGCTGGCAGAGTTCGCCCGCAGCCCGCCTGTTTGGTTCTCCCAGATTCTGTCCCCTCAGGGCAGGTGACCCAATCGTGGTCCAAGGACTTGGCTGGTAATACCAATAATAGCATCCTTCATTAAATTTTAAGCACTTTAAATTGTCTCAGTCAAGTCTCCCAACAACCCTAAGATATAGGTGCTATTGCTAGCAGCTTCACTTCACAGTGGAGGCAACTGAGATTTACAGAGGTTAAGTAAAGTAAGCCCATGGTTACACAGCCAAGTGGCAGAGCTGAGACTCAGACCCAGGTCTGACTCTACAGCCCCCATGCTCCTTCCTCTCTCCAGCGACATGCTGCCTCACCAAACTTGCCCAGTCAAACCTGCCTCTGCTTCCTGTCCTGTCCTCTCCCATGTCCCAGGGCTGCACTCCCCTTGCCATGGGCACACCTGGCAGGGACTTCCCATCCTCTTTCTGCATGCTCAGCCCTCAGCCTGGAGTCCCCTCAACAGC
Organism: Homo sapiens; assembly: GCF_000001405.40. Classification (NCBI taxonomy): domain Eukaryota; kingdom Metazoa; phylum Chordata; class Mammalia; order Primates; family Hominidae; genus Homo; species Homo sapiens. The sequence goes on from NC_000011.10 coordinate 34,734,439, forward strand.
CCATTCCCCCATCTCTGCCTGTTGGAATTTACACATCCTTCAAGCCCAGCTGAAGTCTTCCCTGGTCTTCCCATTTGGAATGACTCTTTCCCTCCTTGGCTCAATCTCAGTGAAGTGTGAATAAATAAGTAAAATTTATATATGTATATATAATGTATACATGCATATATAGTGTGTGTGTATACATATTATATATATATTTTTTTTTTAAACAGTGGTAGGAAGAATAATGATGCCCTTCCCCCAAAGATATCCATGCCCTAATCCCTGGAACCTGTGAATATGGTACCTTACATGGCGAAAGGGACTTTGCAGATATTGTTAAGATTAAGGCCCTAGAGATGGGGAGATTAGCCCAGGTTATCCAGGTGGTCCCAATTTAATCACCAAATCTTTAAAAGTGAAAGAGGGTCGGGCATGGTGGCTCAGGAGTTTGAGATAAGCCTGACCAACATGGTGAAACCCTGTCTCTACTAAAAATACAAAAATTAGCCAGGCCTGGTGATGTGCACCTGTAATCTCAGCTACTCAGGAGGCTGAGGCAGGAAAATCGCTTGAACCTGGGAGGTGGAGGTTGCAGTGAGCTGAGATTGTGCCACTGCACTCCAGCCTGGACAACAGAGGGAGACTCTGTCCAAAAAAAAGTAAAAGAGAAAGGCAGAAGAGTGGGTCAGAGACATGTGACATGAGAAGGACTTGACCCACCATTGCTGGCTTTGAAGATGGAGGAAGGGGGTCATGAGTGAAGGAATGTGGTGGCTTCCAGAAACTAGGAACAGTTCTCAGCTAAATCCAGCAAAAAAATGGGACCTCAGTCACACAACCACAAGGAACTGAATTCTGCCAACAATCTAATAAGCAGATTGTAGAGCCTTCAGAAAGCAATGCAGCATGTCAACAGTTGTGTTTTTAGTTTGTTGAGATCTGTGTTAGAATTCTGACCTACAAGGCTGTAAAATAATCAATTTGTGTTGTTTTAAACCACTAAGTTTATGGTGATTTGTTACAGCAGCAATAGAAAAGTAATATACTTTCACTGGGTTTATTTTATAATACTAAAGCATTGGTGCCAGTCTACTACTGTGATTGCTTGAGTATGCATATATTTCTCTCCCTCACTTTTTATTGGACTTAAGTCTTAGTTATTTTTATATATTTTTCTTCAGAACCTCAAGTAGCACCTGGATTTTGTTGCATTGCCTTACATCATCTATATTACCTGAGTGACCACTACGTGCACAGCATCATCTTGGGTGTAGAGAAACAAAGTCAAGTCAGTGGGGTAGTCTGTTAAGCACTTCACAGAAGTCTGGGGTTTCACTCCTCCTAGGCACATAAGAAGAAGATTGTATGTTTCTGCCTTCTCAAAGTTCAGTGTGGCCATGTGACTTGCTTTGGCCAAGAGCTGAGAACAAATGCTTTATCCTTCTCTCCTTTCTCTGCAGCATGCTACCTGGCAACGTTTTAGATGGTGTGGGGTCTGGCAGCTTGCATCTTTACTGATTGTGGTGTGTGGAATCTGTTGGCTGGCTCACAGTGGACATGTATTGAAAGTGAGAAATAATCTTTTTGTTTCGATAGCTCAGATTTTGAGGTGGTTACCACTGCATGATTTAGCCCACCCTGACTGATAAAGTCAGTTTCTGACTCAGGTTCTTACAATTTTGGGGAAGAGAAATCAGGCATATACACAAGTAACTACTATATAGAAGAGAAAGGTTGGGATTGAATATAAGTGTTGATGTTTAGAATGTGTCCTTTCAGACTTTATCTACACTAACACACAAACAAACCTGTAGGTATGTAAGTCTGAGAAAATAAATGCTTCTTTTTATGAAATTGGGATGATACTCTACACATTATTTTGTAATTTGACTCATTGACCCTCAAAAGAAAAGCCACTTAGCCTACAAAGCAAGTGATAAGGCAGGCAGTGTCCCTTTTTAACAGATAAAGAAACTGAGCTTCAGAGAGGTTAAGCAACCTCTTCAAATTCACTCAGCTGGCAAGCGATGGAATTGGAACTCAAATCTGGAACTCTCTGTCTACAAAGTCAGCAAAAAACACATCTCTTACCTCCATAGAGCAGGGCATGTGCACAAAACACCTTAAACATACAAGATGGTGCATGTTGAGTGATCAACCAGCACTGTGGATTGCATGTGTGCTAAGCATTCCAGATGAAGAACACTTAACACATATGGGCTGGAGTGATGGAAGAAAGACTTCACAAAGACATGTGACCAAGCTCAGCCTCAGAGGCAGGGCAGGACTTAACTAGTTGAAGTGGAAGGTGTTTATTCATTCATTCACCATTTGATAACTTACACAACAGCCATTTATTAAGTGTTTGACACAGAGGAGGCACTGTAATAATCCAGGCAGGAGACATGATGGGGAAAAAGCCTTGGAGTTGGAACATTCAAGAACGAGAGGCAGGCCTGGATGACTGGACTCAAAGACTGGGGTGGGAAGAAATGGGTAAAAAGACAGGATAGGCAGGTAAGGAAACAACCAGAGGAGATCTTGGGTGCCCTCCACCACTACTGCCTAAAGAATAACCCCAAACTTTGGAAGAATTTTGAATTTTACCATGAAAATTTAGGAACTCAACTCCCAGTGCGAAGCTAATACAAGATGATGGGGTAGGGTTGGAGGGCAAGGTGGAAGATGGGGAAAAGCTACAATTTTACCTTAAAATGATTTCACTAGTTCTGAACTTCAGTTTCACTCATCCACATTGGTCCAGTGCATTGCTGGGCACTCAGTGAGATTTGGAAGAAGAGGGACACAGCCCAACACAGCCAAAGACAATAGAGTCCACAAGGCAGTAAACAGTAGATATCTAGTTGATGCTAGAATGTGAGCTATAGACAGAAGGACTGGAGGGGTTGAAAGCAGCCCTGTGTACAAGATGAAACATGAGCTCTGGAGTGATGCAGACCTGATGCCAATCCCAGCTCTGCTCCTTCACATGAGGTGATGGGCAAATTGTTGAGCTCAGTTTCCTCTTTTGAAAAACAGAGATAACATCTAGCCTGAAGAGTCACAGGGATTGGGAAACAACATATATAAAAAAGCCTGGATTCCCAGGCAAGATGGCCAAATAGGAATAGCTCTGGTCTGCAGCTCCCAGTGAGACCAATGCAGAAGGTGGGTGATTTCTGCATTTCTAATTGGGGTACCCAGTTCATCTCATTGGGACTGGTTAGACAGTGGGTGCAGCCCACAGAGGGTGAGCAGAAGCAGGGTGGGTTGTTGCCTCACCTGGGAAGCAGAAGGGGTTGGAGAACTCCCTCCCCTAGCCAGGGGAAGTCATGAGGGACTGTGCTGCGAGGAACTGTGCATTCTGGCCCAGATACTATGCTTTTCCCACAGTCTTTGCAATCTGCAGACCAGGAGATTCCCTTGGATACCTACACCACCAGGACCCTGGATTTCAAGCACAAAACTGGACAGTCGTTTGGGCAGACACCCAGCTAGCTGCAGGAGTTTTTTTTTTTTTTTTCGTACCCTAGTGGCACATGGAGCACCAGAGAGACAGAACTGTTCACTCCCCTGTCAAGGGGGCTGAAGCCAGGAAGCCGAGTGATCTTGCTCAGTGGATCCCACCCCCATGGAGCCCAACAAGCTAAGATCCACTGGCTTGAAATTCTTGCTGCCAGCGCAGCAGTCTGAGGTCAACCTGGGAAGCTGGAGCTTGGTGGGGGGAGGGGCATCCACCGTTACTAAGGCTTGAGTAGGTGGTTTTCCCCTCACAGTGTAAATAAACAAAGCCATTGTTTGTAAACAAAGTTCAGACTGGGTGGAGCCCACTGCAGCACCGCAAAGCTGCTGTAGCCTGGCCTGCTCTCTAGATTCCTCCTCTCTGGGCAAGGCATCTCCGAACGAAAGGCAGCAGCCCCAGTCATGGGCTTATAGATAAAACTTCCACCTCCCTGGGACAGAGCACCTGGGAGAAGGGGTGGTTGTGGGCACAGCTTCAACAGGCTTAAACCTTCCTGCCTGCCAGCTCTGAAGAGAGCAGCAGATCTCCTAGCACAGTGCTCGAGCTTTGCTAAGGGACAGACTGCCTCCTCAAGTCACTGGGTCAACAGTCACCTCATATACACTGGCATCTGGCAGATGTGCCTCTGGGACAAAGCTTCCAGAGGAAGGATCAGGCAGCAATATTTGCTGTTCTACAGCCTCCGCTGGTGATACCCAGGCAAACAGTCTGGAGTGGACCTCCAGCAAACTCCAGCAGACCTGCAGTAGAGGGGCCTGACTGTTAGGAGGAAAACTAACAAACAGAAAGCAATAATGTCAACATCAACAAAAAGGATGACCATGCAAAAACCCCATCTGAAGGTCACCAACATCAAAGACCAAAGGTAGATAAATCCATGAAGATGAGGAAAAAACAGCACAAAAAGGCTAAAAATTCCAAAAACCAGAGTGCCTCTTCTCCTCCAAAGGATCATAACTCCTCACCAGCAAGGGAACAAAACTGGATGGATAATGAGTTTGATGAATTGACAGAAGTAGGCTTCAGAAGGTGAGTAACAACAAACTCCTCCAAGCTAAAGGAGCATGTTCTAACCCAATGCAATGAAGCTAAGAAACTTGATAAAAGGTTACAGGAACTGCTAACTAGATTAACCAGTTTAGAGAAGAACATAAATGACCTGATGGAGCTGAAAAATACAGTTCGAGAACTTCGTGAAGCCTACACAAGTATCAGTAGCCAAATTGATCAGGCAGAAGAAAGGATATCAGAGATTGAAGATCAACTTAATGAAATAAAGCATGAAGATGACATTAGAGAAAAAAGAATGAAAAGGAACTAACAAAGCCTCCAAGAAATATGGGACTATGTGGAAAGACCAAACCTACGTTTGACTGGTGTACCTGAAAGTGATGGGGAGAATGGAACCAAGTTGGAAAACACACTTCAGGATATTATCCAGGAGAGCTTCCCCAACCTAGCAAGACAGGCCAACATTCAAATTCAGGAAATACAGAGAACACCACAAAGATACTCCTCAAGAATAGCAACCCCAAGACACATAATCATCAGATTTACCAAGGTTGAAATGAAGGAAAAAATGTTAAGGGCAGCCAGAGAGAAAGGGAAGCCCATCAGGGTAACAGCGGATCTCTCTGCAGACACCCTACAAGCCAGAAAAGAGTGGGTGCCAATATTCAACATTCTTAAAGAAAAGAATTTTCAACCCAGGATTTCATATCCAGCCAATCTAAGCTTCATAAGTGAAGGAGAAATAAAATCCTTTACAGAAAAGCAAATGCTGAGGGATTTTGTCACCACCAGGCCTGCCTTACAAGAGCTACTGAAGGAAGCACTAAATATGGAAAGGAAAAACCAGTACCAGCCACTGCAAAAACATACCAAAATGTAAAGACCATTGACGCTGTGAAGAAACTGCATCAACTAATGGGCAAAATAACCAGCTAGCATCATAATGACAGTATCAAATTCACACATAGCAATATTAACCTTAAATGTAAATGGAGTAAATGCCTCAATTAAAAGACACAGACTGGCAAATCAGATAAAGAGTCAAGACCCATCAGTGTGCTGTATTCAGGAAACCCATCTCATGTGCAAAGACACACATAGGCTCAAAATAAAGGGATGGAGGGATATTTACCAAGCAAATGGAAAGTAAAAAAAGCAGAGGATGCAATCCTAGTCTCTGATAAAACAGACTTTAAACAAACAATGATCAAAAAAGACAAAGAAGACATTACACAATGGTAAAGGGATCAATGCAACAAGAAGAACTAACTATCCTAAATATATATGCACCCAATACAGGAGCACCCAGATTTATAAAGCAAGTTCTTAGAGACCTACAAAAAGACTTAGACTCCCACACAATAATAGTGGGAGACTTTAACACCCTACTGTCAATATTAGACAGATCAATGAGACAGAAAATTGACAAGGATATTCAGGACTTGAACTCAGCTCTGGACCAAGCAGACCTAATAGACATCTACAGAACTCTACAGCCCAAATCAACAGAATATACATTCTTCTCAGCACCACATCACACTTATTATAAAATTGACCATATAATTGGAAGTAAAATACTTCTAAGCAAATACAAAAGAACAGAAATCATAACAAACAGTCTCTCAGAACACAGCACAATCAAATTGGAACTCAGCATTAAGAAACTCATTCAAAACTGCACAACTACATGGAAACTGAGCAATCTGCCCCTGAATGACTACTGGGTAAATAATGAAATTAAGGCAGAAATTAATAAGTTCTTTGAAACCAATGAGAACAAAGACATAATGTACCAGAATCTCTGGGACACAGCTAAAGCAGTGTTTAGAAGGAAATTTATAGCAGTAAATGCCCACATCAGAAAGCAGGAAAGATCTAAAATAGACACCCTAACATCAAAATTAAAAGAACTAGAAAAGCAAGAGCAAACAAATTCAAAAGCTAGCAGAAGACAAGAAATAAATAAGATTAGAGCAAAACTGAAGGAGATAGAGACACGAAAAACCCTTCAAAAAAATCAATGAATCCAGGAGCTGGTTTTTTGAAAAGATTAGCAAAATAGAAAGACTGCTAGCCAGACTAATAAAGAAGAAAAGGGAGAAGAATCAAATAGAGACAATAAAAAATGATAAAGGGGATATCACCACTGATCCCACAGAAATACAAACTACCATCAGAGAATACTGTAAACACCTCTATGCAAATAAACTAGAAAATCTAGAAGAAATGGATAAATTCCTCGACACATACACCCTCCCAAGACTAAACCAGGAAGAAGTCAAATCCCTCAATAGACCAATACCAGGTTCTGAAATTGAGGCAGTAATTAACAGCCTACCAACCAAAAATAGCCCAGGACCAGATGGATTCTCAGCCGAATTCTACCAGAGGTAAAAAGAGGAGCTGGTACCATTCCTTCTAAAACTAATCCAAACAATAGAAAAAGAGGGACTCCTCCCTAACTCATTTTATAAGGCCAGCATCATCCTGATACCAAAGCCTGGCAGAGACACAACAAAAAAAGAAATTTTCAGGCCAGTAACCATGATGAACATCAATGCAAAAATCCTCAAAAAAATACTGGCAAACCGAATCCAGCAGTACACTAAAAAGCTTATCCACCATGATCAAGTTGGCTTCATCCCTGGGATGCAAGACTGGTTCAACATAGGCAATTTAATAAATGTAATGCAGCACATAAACAGAACCAATGACAAAAACCACATGATTATCTCCATAGATGAAGAAAATGCCTCTGATAAACTTCAACACCCCTTCATGCTAAAAACAATAAACTAGGTATTGATGGAACATATCTCAAAATAATAAGAGCTATTTATGACAAACCCATAGCCAATATCATACTGAATGGGCAAAAGCTGGAAGCATTCCCTTTGAAAACCGGCACAAGACAAGGATGCCTTCTCTCACCACTCCTATTCAACATAGTATTGGAAGTTCTGGCTAGGGAAATCAGGCAAGAGAAAGAAATAAAGTGTATTCAAATAGAAAGAGAGGAAGTCAAATTATCCCTGTTTGCAGGTGACATGATTGTATATTTAGAAAACCCCATCATCTCAGCTCCAAAACTCCTTAAACTGATAAGTAACTTCAGCAAAGTCTCAGGATACAAAATCAACATGGAAAATCACAAGCATTCCTATACATCAATAATAGAAAAACAGAGAGCCAAATCAGGAGTGAACTCCCATTCACAATTGCCACCAAGAGAATAAAGTACCTAGGAATACAACTTACAAGGGATATGAAGGACCTCTTCAAGGAGAACTACAAACCACTGCTCAAGGAAATAAGAGACGACACAAACAAATGGAAAAACATTCAATGCTCATGGATAGAAAGAATCAATATCATGAAAATGGCCATACCGCCCAAGGTAATTTATAGATTCAATGGTATTCCCATCAAGCTACCATTGACTTTCTTCACAGAATTAGAAAAACTAGTTTAAATTTCATATGGAACCACAAAAGAGCCCGTGTAGCCAAGACAATCCTAAGCCAAAAGAACAAAGCTGGAGGCATCACGCTACCTGACTTCAAACTGTGTTACAAGTGGAAGGCTAGCACTCTGATAGCACCACATTGCACAGCCATGAGTATGGTTTCATCTAACCTATAAGCTAACTGGAAGGCAGATGAAATACAGTTAAGGACTATTGGCAAGGTTTTTATAATCTGCACTAAGAAAGAGTTTCATCTACCAGATCAGCATCTTTGTAAAGGTTGCTGATGGGAGATGACCTCTCTATTACCTCCAAGTTTGATGCTTGGATGCTTCTTGCAACAGCAAAAGCCAAGCCCTGACACACCAACCTTATGTGGGCAGCCTAGACCCTTATAGCTGCAGCCAAAACTTAATCTCTTAGCCATCTGAAGCCAGGTCTACTCAAGTCCGTGCTCCAAAAAGTCGGAAGCCACAGGCCAGGAATCACTGATGAAAAAGATGAAGGAAAATCCCCTTGAGCACAAGACCATCAGTTCCTACACCATGGAGGGATACCTCTATGTGCAGGAGAAACATCACTTTGGAACTTCTTGGGTGAAGCACTACTGTATGTATATATAAATGGGATTCCAAACAAATCACCATGGTACCATTTGACCAAAAGTCAGGAGGAAATAGGGAGACTGTGAATCAGTTACCCTCAAATCCTGCACACGGAAGAAAACAGACTCCATTGAGAAGAGGTTTTGCTTTGATGTGGAAGCAGTAGACAGAGGAAATTTGGACCCAGAAATGGACATGCACATGAGAAGAATACTGTGTTAACACGAAGGCAGAAGTCGAGGAGATACACCTACAAGCCAAGGAACGCTAAAGACTGGCAGCCAAGCACCAGAAGCTAGGAGAGAGGCATGGAGCAGATTCATCCTCACACCTTAGAAGGAAGCCTTGATCTTGAACTTTTAGCCTCTAGGCCCATGAAACTACAAATTTCTGTTGTTTAAGCCAACATTTTATATATATTATATATATATATATATACACACACACACACACACACATATGTATATGCATATATATGTATATATGTATGTGTATATATACATATGTATGTGTATATATACATATATATGTATATACATGTATACATATGTACATATATGTGTATATATACATATATACACATAACAGTGTATACATATACATATGTGTGTGTATATATGTGTGTGTGTGTGTATATATATACACACACATAGTTTCTCCATACACCTTGGAGAGCCACCTTCAAGGTTTGTCCTTGGCTTGCTGAAGCCCTTCCTTTCTTCTTTATCCTAGATAGTTAAAATACCTCTTTTTTTTCTTACAAAAGTAAAGTCAGATTATCATGGATAATATAGATAAGCAAGAAAAAAGAAAAAAAAAACCTGACAATTACTCCACCAACCCAGAGATAACCTCTTTTAACTGTTCTGATGTTTTCCTATCATATCTTTCTTTTTTTTTTTGAGACAGAGCCTTGCTCTGTCACCCAGGCTGGAGTGCAGTGGCACAATCTCGGCTCACTGCAACCTCCGCCCCCTGGGTTCAAGCAATTGTCCTGCCTCTCTCAGCCTCTCTAGTAGCTGAGATTACAGGCATGTGCTACCACACCTGTGTAATTTTTGTATTTTTAGTAGAGACATGGTTTTTGCCATGTTGGCCAGGCTGGTCTTGAATTCTTGACCTCAAGTGATCTGCCCATCTTGGCCTCCCAAAATGCTGGGTTTACTGGCATAAGCCACTGCACCCAGCCTCATATCTTTTTCTGAAGATGTATAGGTATATGTATAAAAATAATATGTAATATATTATGTTGGTATTTTTGCTATCAGATATTTTTCAAAATATGTGTATACACATATATGTATTTGTACATATGTCTTTCTACATCAATAAATACATTTCTAGAATATATTTTTAATGACTACATAGTCATTAAAATAGACTGTCTTCTATTGAATGAGGATACTACCCAAATTTTTAATGAGAAGGATATTTAAACTATTTCATGTTTTAATTTTATAGAAACATTTCAGCAAATATCTTTAAGACTATATCTTTTCTCAGACCTTTCATTACTTCATAATTTCTAGCAGTAACATCTCACATCTTTCATTATGTCCTTGGGATAAATTCTAGCAGTAGTGTGGCAGGGTCAGAAAAGATTTTTTTCTGCATTTTTTACTGCAGTAATCTTTACCTTTTGTTCGATTCCTTTCTTGAAATTTCACTTACTGCTAATGAAAAACATCTGTGGGAACCAAAGCAGAAGTGAGTGTTATGTCTTAATGTTGCTGAGTCCCTAGCACAGTGCTAGTGTTCCAATTAATCACATTAAAGTGATATTTCTCTGACCAGGCTCACACCTGTAATCTTAGCACTTGGAGAGGCTGAGGTGCGTGGATCGCTTGAGCACAGGAGTTTGAGACCAGAATGGGCAACATGACAAGTCTCTACTAACAATACAAAAATTAACCAGGCATGGTGGCATGCACCTGTAGTCCCAGCTACTGAGGAGGTCAAAAGATCATTTGAGCCCAGGAGGCTGAGGCTGCAGTGAGCTATAATCGCCACTGCACTTCAGCTTGGGTGACAGAGCGAGACTCTGTCTCAAAAAAATTTAACAAATAAATAAATAAATAAATCAATAATAAGATAAAGTGGGATATCTCTTCTGGCTTCAGTAGCAACAATAAAAACAACTATTATTATTGTCATTGTTCTTGCTATCTTTCATCCTGTTCTCCTGCTCTGAGATCCCCTCCACTTGGGCTCACTTAGGAGGAATGGGCCATTTGCCAGAAGCTCCATGGACTTCGCCTGGAGCAGAGCACAGAGTTTCTGGCACATTCACTGTCTGAGAAGCTGAGGCTGAGCTTCGCCTGACCCCTCGGAGCCCCTCAACTCTAGACAATAGGTCTTCTGTACTGTGTGCTGAGTGACACCTGCAAGAGGCTGGTGTTCATTGTTATGTCCTTTTCCTGGCAGGCTTATCTATTGAGTTTGGCTTCTGCTGACTGAAGTGAGGGAAACTGACCTAGTTGAAGAGAGCAGCTTGACAGAAAAGTCTTAATGTTGCCATATGGCCTGAGGGCTCCATGTGAACCTGTCAAAATAAATATATATTAATTAATCATCTCAATCCTAAACACGTCCCAGCATTGATCACAGTACATGGCACAGAGTACAGGTACTCTGCAAGTGTTTGCTAAGTTAAAACATGATGGCAGATGAGGAGGGTATTAATTATCTTTGCCTTATCTTGCTGTAGATTGTATGTCACACACGCAGCATCAGGTATTTATGTCTCCAGGAGTCCTCTCACAAGTGAGCTGGAGGATCCTGCCCCATGTGTAGGGTTAAATACACAACTATTCTTCAACTTTTGGACAAAGACCAAAATGCATGGGTCTAACAAGTGCCACTAAGCTGATAATAAAGAAGAAGATTGACCTGCCCACCATAAATCAAGGGTGAACATATAATAAAAGTACTTTCAGACATGCATGGTCTCCACAAATAGTCACTTCCCAAACAGCTCTTCTTGGGAAGATACTAGAGGATGCACTTCCCTAAAAATAGGGGTGGGGTGGGGGCAGGGGGAATAAACTAAACCATGGAATCCAGGATCCTGGTATTTAACTCAAGAGAAAAGCTCAGAGTATTCTTAGGATGATAGCAAAAGAAAGACCAGAATAATAGCAGCACCGCTGACTTACAGAGCAACCCATCTAGACTATGGGAGGAAGACCAAGCATCTCCAAGAGGGATATACTGCACCCCCCCTCAAAAAAACATGAAACTCTTTAGTTACATGGTAGATTTGACTTCATTAGGAGTTTTATAGCCCTATGTGAGAATTTGGGATTAATTAATTGTAGGTACACAAAACCAAGCAGAGGAAAAATAGGAAAAAATGTTCACGAAAGGAAAACTAACCACAGTACATTATGTGGCTCATCTGTGAACAATATTTTCATAGATATTATCATGTAAACAGCAAATATTGAATTAACAAAAAGTTGATATATATGAGTGAATAGGGGAGGGGAAGTGTCATGTTGTGGAGAGATATAGGAAGAGCAAAATAGAGGTGATGAAGAGAGATAAATTTTATCCTCCACTATAGAGTAACAAAAGAGAAATGTCTACAATGGAAAAATCCAGAACTAGCAGTATAACCATATTATTTAAAGAAAGAAAGGTCAATTCCAAAGAAACGGCTTAAAAGGTTGAGAGTTGTTGCGTTTGGGGAGAGCAACCTAAAAGTAGGAAGGAGTAGAGCAGACATTGCTGCTTTTTGAGATGATTTTTACTTTTTTAAACTATGTACATATATTATTTTTTAATTTAATTAATAGAAGTATTAGAGGGTATATAACTGCGGGAATTGATGCACACTTCTTCTCTTGGGGTTTTGATAGTTAAGTCAGTGTCTTTTTAAAATCATGTTCCTCACAGTTCTTTCGGGGACCGTCAGAAAAAGAAAGGGGGTGACTGAGAGACTGGGGTTCTTTGACTCTTCTATCAGTTTTATATGTTGAGGTTCCTGGTGAAATTTCATTTGAATTAAAGGGTCAATTGCTTAAAATTTTTTGTTTTGAATTTTGAAAGCACAGACCTAGACCTAACTTTCTGGGAACTAGATTTCTCTTGGTGGCCCAGTGAGTCAGTGCGCCACATCCAGAGCCTCTCTCACACAGCGCCAGGCATTATCTTTCATGCACCACCATGGCCTGGAGCTTTTCTCTCCAAAAGGAAGAATGAATTTGTGATGCACTGTCTACATCTTTGTATTTTTTCCCTCTAGGACCAAAGGCCTGTGTGTGTGAGCTTAATGATTTGGAAGTGTGGTGTGATTCTAGGGACTTGAGGCCCTGAGCCCACAGTCTTAGCTCCAGTGCCTCCAGCTCCAACCACCTGAACTGAGCCATTACGAACACAAAGCTAGGACCACATCAGCTTTACGACACACCCATAGCAATAAAAGTGAACAACCTTTGAGTCCTTATGATTTGCCAGGCACTGCTCTAAGTGCTTCCTATGTATTTACTCCTTTAATCATCACAACACTAAAGACACTGTTGCTCTCTGCATTTTACAGATGAGGAAACTGAAGCACAGAGAAGGTAGTAATCAGCCCAGAGTCACAGCTAGCAAGTGGCAGAGCCAAGATTCGAACCCAGACAGACAGAGTCCAGAGCTCAGGCTCTTAACAGCGTCCCTTTTCTGTCCCCTACTACACACACTTTCTTTATTATTATTATTATTATAATACTTTAAGTTTTACAACGTGCAGGTTTGTTACATATGTATACATGTGCCATGTTGGTGTGCTGCACCCAGTAACTCGTCATTTAGCATTAGGTATATCTCCTAATGCTATCCCTCCCCACTCCCCCAACCCCACAACAGTCCCCAGTGTGTGATGTTCCCCTTCCTGTGTCCATGTGTTCTCACTGTTCAATTCCCACCTATGAGTGAGAACATGTGGTGTTTGGTTTTTTGTCCTTGCCATAGTTTGCTGAGAATGATGGTTTCCAGCTTCATCCATGTCCCTACAAAGGACATGAACTCATCATTTTTTGACTACACACACTTTCATATTCCTTTTCCTTAGATGAGCCCACAAACCCTTTCACGGAGACTTTCATTGAGGTATTCTATGCCCTTTCATTCTGTCATTTGTCTGGGTGTTTTTAATTAGGCTGGAGTTTCAGTAAACAGCAGACTCACTTAAAACTGAAGCCGGCAGAGAAATCCTTCGTTGACAAAATGTCTGGCACACACAAGCAAATCATGATTTGAAGTCATCAGAGGCAATTGGATACCCATGTTGTAATGGTTTGGAATTAAGGGTTTAAATCTCACACCCAAGGGCTGACACCCAGAGAAATCACTCACTAATCTCTGTGTCTGATGCTTGGGCAGGGAGGTAAGGGGCTGGGGCTTTCCTGGGAGGGTGCATAGAACCAAGAGGCCTCTCCACAGAGTAGAAGCCAGAGGCCCTCCAAACCAGCCCCAGATAGAACTTTAACAGGATCAACCCAGCCACTGGGTAAAGGCACAGGGAACTGTGGATGGGCCTAGTGGCCTGGAGGGCAGGAGGAAGGCTGGAGGTGGTCCCTGCCTCCACAACCTCCTTGCACACCCTCCACTCCTCTGATACCCCACTCCAGCCTCAACAAAACTTCTTTGCATTTTTCCAACATGCAAGGCTTGCTCCTGTCTCCGAGGCTTTGCTCTTGCCTTTCCCTCTGTCTGGAATGCCCTTCCCTGCCTCCTACTCATGTGGGTCTCACCTGGATGCTACCTCTTCAAAGAAGCCATCCTGATCACCGTAATTTAAAGTAGCCACATACTCCCCATGCTCATTTCTTTTTCATACCCTGTTTTTCTTAAACCAAAAAACCTGCAAAACCCATCATCAGGCTTATCATTAGTGGATTTTATGTATTTATTTATTTTAAATATTTATTCCTCTCGATGAAAGCAGGCACTTTTTTTTGGCATAAATTTCATTCCTCCCAGAGTAATGAAATCATGTTAATGTGTGGTTGAACCCCATTGACTATTTCTTGAACAAATGAATAAGTGAATGAATGGTTGGATGGTATCCACGAATTAGGCAGGTAGGGGGTTCAATTTTTAGCCTGTGTTGTAGGAAAGAGAACAAGGACTTTCTCTCTGGGGAATTATTCTTCTTGGCCTTTAGCAAGCCATCTCCTTTTCCAGCCCTCCCTCCTACCTATCTGGCATTGAAGAACTTGTTTCCATGCTCAAGGACACAGTGTGAAACCTTCCTGTTGGGAGCTCTGTGGCTTTTCTGGGAGTTTAAGGCAAGGATTCTCTCAAGGTAGAGAAAGCTCTGAGTCCCATTTAGCCCTATTGTTGGGGATCACTTGGAAGGAATTGGTGGGGAGAAAAGCCTGTCCTTTATCGTTGCCTTCTGGGGGTCTAATACCATGACAACCTGGCCTGAGCCATGAATCCTGGGCTCTCAAATTAGTGCATTCTCAACTCACTGCATCCTGATCTTGACTAAGTGCATCCTGTTCCTCTCTTTGGAGTTTCCTGGCTAAGGATACCTCTATGTTGATGGGCAGGGCCAGGCCCGTCTTGAACCAGGGGCTGAAACTTGCTCAGCTCTGTAGATGCTCCTGCCTGTGACTCTTGTCCTGATCCCTGCAATAAGAATACAGTCATGACGTTTCAGTCAATGAGGGACTGTGTATATGATGGTGGTCTCATAAGATTATAATACTGCATTTTTATTGTACTGCTTCTATGTTTAGATATACTTAGATACACAAATACTTACCATTGTGTTACAATTGCCTACAGTATCCCATAAAGCAACATGCTGTCCAGGTTTGTAGCCTAGCAGCAATGGGCTATACCATATAACTTAGGTGTGTAGTAGGTTATACCATCTAGGTTTGTGTAAGTACACTTTATGATGTGTGTAAATGACAAAATCACATAACTACACATTTCTTAAAACAAATCCTCGTTATTAAGTGACACTTGACTGTACTTATCTCTAAGTCGTTCCTACTTTGCCAGGATTATGGAGGCTATGATTGTAGGGGAGTCAAACCCAGCTTCACTGGGACTTTCCACGCAGGACTTTTCCTCCCCTCTCGTCTAGCCTCACCCCATTGTGGTGCAACCCTGTCCTAATGGGTCACCAGACTGGTGAAACCTGAACAGTTGGAAGCCAAAGGAAGCACTTGATGATAAGAAGGGGGGGTCGGTGAGCAAGTGGGGGCTTTGGAAGGGGACCTGGGAAGGGTGGAGAGGGAAGGGAGAGGCACTGGGGCCATTTATTTTCAAAGAGAGATGGATTTTAGATGTCAACTTCATTGTTTTTATCATAGTGAAATCTTTATGAAGTTGAGGTGAACGAAGCCCTGTATGCATTGTTATGCTATTTGGTTTTGATAAAAAATTGCATTGTACAAGATGTTCCCTGGCTACATAAAACCTCACTGCACAGCTAATGGTGGCAGCGAGCCACACCACAAGTTGTGCAATGCCATGGCAGGGAAAACAGAGCTGCTTCCCAGGGATTAAGGCTGGTATTTCAATTTGAACTTTAAGAAAGAGCTTGAAGGACCAAGAAAGAAAAAAAGAGAGAGGAGAAAAGGGAGAATGCAAAGAAGGAATAAAGAAATATAGAAGAAAGGAATCTAGGAAAGAATGAAAAAGGTAGACAAAATAAGGAGAATGATACCATTTAATGGGGGAAAATTCTCTTTGCAAAATAGGCAAAAGGAATAGGTTCTGAAAGAGAAGAAATTTTTTTTGTTTCTTTTGCTACATTCTTTTCTATCTATCTTTGTTCCAAAACTTCACTATATCTGTAAGCGAACTCTTTTCTCTTCATGTTTCCACTTAATACTAGGAGCCAAAGTGTCTGTGGTGCTTTTCCCAACTTTGTAGGTAGCCAAGATAGTCTAGCTATGCTCTTGTATTAGCTCCAAGCCTTAGACTTTTCCCTCACATAAATCTAAACTGGAACTCTGGGTCTTTGTTTATCAGCAGCCTCCATAAGACATTAGGAGAAGGGAAGACCACTTTCTTCTCCTCACTTTCCTTTCTTTTTGGCTCCTTGGAAGCAAAGGCTCTTTGAGAAGAGACCTTGGAGGCAAGGTGGTATAAGTGGAAGGAGTATGAATTTGTAATCAGAGGGGTAAATATCTAAATTCCACACTGGGTTGTGAAAAAGTTAAAAAGCATCTGGCACATTTTAGACATTTGATAACTCTTGATTCCCTTGTTGACAACTCATCTCTCCTTACTGAATATTGTGGGTCCTCATCTTATAAACAACAAATTTATTTCTTAATCTTGTGCCTGAGCAATGAATGTGCAGACAGTGAAAAATCTGGTCCTGTTATGAAGAAAAATTCAATCAAGGTATCAGAATTTAAACAAATGCCTTCCATTTAGTGCTGCCTCTAAGGAGTATGACCTGATACAGAAAGAAATCAATCCAAGTGTTGTAGAGTCCCAGGAAAACCCTAGAGAAGTGTTTCCAGACCCATCGCAGGCAACAGAGCTGTGGCCGGCCGGTGTGAATAGTGGGCAATGGAGTTAGGACTTGGTGAGTTGTTCTTCTGTTGCCACCAACAATTGTGCAGCATCTGATGTCCTTTTGTCCTGAGCAGGTCAGCATTTGCTCAAAGAGAACTGTTCTAGGACTCCCAGCTTCTTCTCTCATGGAGTTCACCACTCTGTACCCTACATTCCCACCACCCCAACCAAAGTGCACTTGCCAGATTATACAAGGCTATTGCACACACTCAGGCCTTTGTGCATCCTGCTGTCTCTGCATGCTGTTTCCTTCTTCAGCACCTTGATTTGATGAACATCTACTCATCTGCCATGACCTGAGTGTAGCCTCAGCTCTTCCGTGTAGGCTTTCCTGACTGCTCTCTGGAAGAACCCACTATGCCCTTCTTTGGCCCCTAATGTATCCTCAACAGACTTCTATCATATCCCCTGTGCCTCCTTCCATTCACCTGGCAATTTTTGGAACTTAAGGACAATGCCTGATTATTTTATTTAATTTTATTTTATTTTTGAGATGGAGTCTTGCTCTGCTGGGGTTGGAGCGCAGTGGTGCAATCTTGGCTCACTGCAACCTCCACCTCCCAGGTTCCAGCGATTCTTCTGCCTCAGCCTCACAAGTAGCTGGGATTATAGGCACGTGCCACCAAGCCCTTTTTGTTTTATTGGTAGAGTCGGGGTTTCACCATGTTGGCCAGGCTGGTCTTGAACTCCTGACCTCAGGTGATCCACCCACCTTGGCCTCCCAAAGTGCTGAGATTACAGGCATAAACCACCACGCCTGGCCAATGTCTGATTCATTTATGTATCCCTGGTCCCTAGTGTTGTGTCAGGCATATAGAGGGGCTCAAAAATTGCTTGTTGAATGTACAAATGAATGAATGAAGTGAAAAACAGGGGTAAAGAAACTTTTAGATAATCAACTTAAGTATCTAAAAGAGCAAGAGGTCAGTTTTAGCATTCTGAGCTATTTTACCTTTGTCATAGTTAAAAACGTATTTAAACTCTCTGTTAATGAATAACCAGCATTTTCACCTAGCAATAGTACTTGGCATATGACACTATGAATATGCAAGTTCAAGACCAGATGTGCTTTTTCGATAAATGGAACAAAAATATAAATTTTTAAAATTATGTGGGAGTCCATTATACTCATAGGGAAGAGGGAGGGTGGCAGCAAGGAAGAACGGAGTAAAAGATGAGAGGAAAGAAAGGTACAATTTGGGGGCCAGAAACTTTGTTAGGAGCTTTCGCATACATCATCCATTTGCTCTTCACAGAGAGCCTGTGGAGGTGGGTATTATTATTATTCCATCTTACATACAAGAAAATTCTGGCCCAGAGAATTTTTATTACTGGTACACATTAAGATTAGAACCAAAGCATGTTTGCCTCCTGATTCCAGAGGTTGCAGAATTCTAGAAGTTGGCTTGTTAAGCAGTTCTAGATCACCTAGGCTTACTCCTGGAATTTGCAGATGAGAAAACTAAAGCACAGAGACATAGGAGTCTTGCTCCACATCATCCAGCAGTTGGTGGCAGAGCTTGGGATTCAACCTCAGGCCCCAGAAGTTCAACCTTATGAGGAGAAGATTGCAGGACAATGGTTCATGCACAGGTCAACACCTCCAAGGCCATCTCACTGCTATGTCTGGATCATGCCCAGAGTGGCTGGAGTGGCTAATGCCAGAGTTTTGGGACCAAAAAAATTGCAGAGATTTCAAAAATTGTAGAAATCATGCAACTTTGGGGGACTGATTCTGGGGAAAGAGTGAGAGAAAGAGTAGCCTGCATTCTTGACTGGTCCCGGTATTTCTTTTGATATTTTTAAGTAAGTAATTACACGCAGCCAGAGAACAGTATAGATTAAATACCATTTTAATTCATTATCCATCTCTATTTTTCACATTGGTGATAGTTGGTGAATTTTTAATGGTACATTAGAAGATTGTGCATTTATTCTGATGAACTTGACTTCCTTCACCATCTCCTATTGAGTAATAAATATTATGTTAAGAATTCATGAAAAACATTTCAGTTTTTTTCATCCTGCCTTCTGAAGATTTCTTGTTGGATTTCAGAGACATGCAAACTTGAATGAACTCACTTGGTAACAGGAGCGAATGCACAGTGAGAGCTCACTCTCTCCTAGGTGCTATTCCAAGTGCTTTACAGACATTATTTAATTTAGTGGTGGCAAGAACCCATGAACTACTTGTATTTCTTAAGTCAGTTTTATCAAGACATAATTTAAATGCAGTAAAATTCACTCTTTAGACGTACAAGATGATGAGTTTTTACAAATGTATATAGAGTCATATAGCCACACCACAACCAAAATATCAAATATTTCCATCACTCCACAATGTGCCCTTATGCACCTTTATATAGTCAATCCTGTCACTGCCCCCTACCCCACCCCCTTGCCATGAACCTCCAAATAACTACTGATCTGTTTTATGGCTGTTTCTAGAATGTCATAAATGGAATTGTATAGTATGTAGCCTTTTGTTCTGGCTTCTTCCACTCAGCCTAATGCTTTTGAGATTCATCCATGTTGTGAATTACTTACTTTCACAATCCCACTTTATATATGAGGAAACTAAATCCCAGGCTAGTTAAGTGACTCCTTCAAGCTGAAAAGTAATGGAGTCAGAACGCAAACCCAGCCAGACTGATTCTAGTGTCTGCACTTTTGTTCAACTCCCTACATCTCTGTACGTGCAGCAGGGCTCCTGGCCCAAGCCTACCCCTTGTCATAACATGCTGAATGGACTGGTCTTGGCTAAATGCTTCATTTGGATGTTTCCCACACTGTGCAATCATAATACTAATTTTACATGTGGATGTGAAATCCTTACATGTTGTGTAAACAATATGAGCTGCTGCTTATTTATTTTTTTTTTTTTCCATTTTCAGGATTGATCCAGAATATGTTCCAGCAAAAACTACAGCAGAGTAACTTTGACAAGAAAAATGTTCACTTGCTACCTAAGGAGAGTCTCTGTCTCCTGACCTCTGAATTTCGAAATCCTCAGCTCTGGCTGCCACGCAGTGGGAACCGAATGAGTATGTACTGAATGGCGAATCCTAGTTCAGTCACTTGACTAGCTGGGTGACCTTGAGCAAGTAACTTAGCTTCTTGAAGCCTCAGTCTCCTTATCTATAAAATGGGACTCAAAGGCTGAGTCGAGTATTAAATGAAATAATACACGTAAAGCACAGTGCCAAAAATCTGGTAATAACTCCATCAGTATAAGGCCACCTTATTTGCCTTCTTTCACAATTATCACCAGAATTGAATTAAAATTCAGATGTGATCATGTCTTGAAATGTAGAAAGAGTTATGAAAATGTAAGACTTACTAAGTTCACTTATCGAACATTTTTTGACCACCTACTATGTGCTATGCCTTGGACTAGGCTAGAGATACAACAGTAAACATCTTGACTAACGGAGATTATGCTGCTATCTTGAAATTTTGCCTGTTCCCAAAAGCCCCCAGCATATTAATTTTGTTAAATATATATTCCCTTATTATATATATAAAACATATATATCCTCATTTTATATATATATATATACATATAAATATGTGTCAACTACTGTGTTGAGAGCTCATTATGTATATGTTTCTTTATTTAACCCTCAAAATAATTCTGTGAGGCTCCAGAATTCCTTTTTCCAAGTGAGAAAATGAGGCTCAGAGCATTGAGTGAACTTGCAGGTAAATGATTGAGATGGAATTTGGAACCAAAGCCTAAGCTTTAAACTGCTTTATTCAGTGGCCTTTGGTTATCTCATATTCACTAGAAATTGGAAAGATCTGTCAGGAGGCCTGCCATGATGCAGAAGTCCTGGATGCCCTGCAAATGTCTATGTGAATGGTACCCCCAGACTGGTGCAGAGCACCTCACGGAGCCCTGGCTGCCAAGATGAAGGCAAGGGCTGTCTGTGGCAAACTCATCATCAAAAAGGATGTGCTTGACACATACTTGGTCCTCAACAAATAGTTGTCAAATTTTTTAAAATGAGGTTGGCTTTTGGCTGATTCAAGCACTCACCTAAGAGTTTATAGTCTGAAACAAAGACATCTACACTAGAGAGAAGGAAAAACACACAATCACTAATGAGAGGCAA
Source organism: Homo sapiens (assembly GCF_000001405.40). NCBI lineage: Eukaryota > Metazoa > Chordata > Mammalia > Primates > Hominidae > Homo > Homo sapiens. Next base: position 34,755,679 of record NC_000011.10, read on the forward strand.
GATCCTTCATACCGCTGAGCTCACCAGCCTATCATTTCTGCCTGTGCAAAGAGCTCGTGATGCTGCGTTTGAGATGAAGGGGAAAGTACAAAAATCATGAGACTTCCTCCTAGTCAAGAGAGGCTTTGTGGAGGAGGTATGCTTCCCAGAAGGCTGTGGGAGTGGAAACTGTGAGGTGCCAATGAAGCTAGAAAACTCTTTCAATGCAGAAAGTGCAGCGGAAGCTCGCGGTTACATAAACACAGTGGGAAGTAATATGGCAATTACAATCTGGCATTTAAAAAAGAAGAATCATGCCCTGGTACAGTGGCATGCGCCTGTAGTCCCAGCTACTTGGGAGGCCAAGGCAGGAAGATTGCTTGAGCCCAGGAGTTCAAGGCCAGCTTGGGCAACATAGTGAGACCCTATCTATCTCTAAAAAAATAAAGATTTCTTTATAAAGAGGAGGCCTCTCCTTTTTAAGAGGAAGAACAAAGGAGAGTCACTCTGCTATTCCTCAAATGACCTCTTCATTCCACTCTGCACCAGTAAACCTCCCTTTTATGTTTATTCATTTATTACTTAAGTCAGGGTCTTCTGAACACTCTTAGTTAAAGGTATACTCTGTCTTAGTAAACTTTCTAGTGTCTTAAGCCAAAAAAAATTCTCACAGTTATATTAAGTAGTTAGTTTCATATAACTTCATAACATTTATGTGCTAACAAATTAATAGATACTAAAAATAACACATATACATGGAAAAATATTTAATTATTAAATAGCTACAATTGCAAATCAGGTATGTGTGCCTTTTGTGTACAAGCAACTTCTCAAATCTTGGAATCAGATTGGGTGCCCTATTCCACAATGACTCTTACAAAACTGAGAGTATCATACTACTTGAGCTACTCCAAATACAGGGGAACAACAAGGATGGAAAAAATTGTCTTGACTTAACATCAGGAGGCAGGTGGTTGCAGGCATAAGTTGAGCACCTCCATCATGCCAAGATGATTCTCTTGATCTTTTCCTCTTGTTTACAAGATGACTGTCATACTCCCAAATACCAAGTGCATACATAAGGCAGGAAGGAGTGGGGGAAAGGTAGTGCCAGACTTATGTGATCTCTTTTAATGAGAAAGAAAAAAGCTGTTCAGAGACTGCCTTCCATCCAAGCAGATGTCCAGTTATAGTCATGCACTGCATAACAATGTTTCAGTCAGCAATGAACCACGTATACAACAATGTTCCATAAGATTATAATACTGTATTTGTACTGTACTTTTTCTATGCTTAGAAACACAAATATTAT